>NC_000010.11:2434242-2585757 GCF_000001405.40 Homo sapiens
GCTTGCAGTGAGCCGAGATCACACCACTGCACTGCAGCCTGGGAGACACAGCAAGACTCTGTCTCAAAAAAAAAAAAAAAAAGAAAGAAAGAAAAAAAAAAAGAAACCCGTTAGATAGGAAACAATAGAAACAACGCAAAATAAAACAAAACAAAACACTGCTTGCCAGGTGTAACAATTTCAGCCCTACCATTTCCAGCTTTTCATATTCTTCAGCCATTGTTTACCATTTTCCACCTGCAATCTTGACTGAGCCCCCGGCTGCGTATTCCTCTAAATGACTCCTGCTTCACAGCCCTCATAGCGTATGTGCCTCTGACTTACTTTTAGGCTCTATATCTCCTTAATATTGTCTGACATTTTCAGCTATTAAGCTCCTGGAACTTTTGAATTCTCCCCTTGACCCATCCAAAACTTCAAACGGACCATCAGCAGCAGTTGGAATTTCATGTTTCCATGTGATTTGTCCCAGAAACTGCCTCAAACGTTGAGCCTTCTCAAGTTGTTCAGTGCCAATTGAGAGCCGAGATTCTCTTCTCCATTAGCGATAAGGGATTGCTCCCCAGGAGACGGGGCTTTGGTTAATATGAGGGTTGTATGTCACTTTCTATCCAGGATGAGCTTAGAATTGTTCTGAAAATGCCCTTGCTTTTGCTTTTCCAGGTAGTGGGTGGAGGAAGGCTCTTGTTCTTTGTTGTCCTTGCTCTGCTGTAACTCAGATTCTAGCCCCAGTACTCACTTTCTTCACAGAAGATTAAATGAACCCTCTGTGGGCTACTTCTGCCCCTTTTATGAGTAAAATTGTCATCTGTGCACTCCACACTCCTGCGTTTACTCTCCAGTCTGGATCTGTTCCTAATCCCCAGACACGTGTCTAACTGACTAGTGGTCATCGCCCCTGTCCCGTGGGCTCCTCCAATTCAGTGCATGGAAACTAGGCTCACATCTTTCTCGAAGCCACTCATCTCAGTAAACGGGTGAGCATTATCCAGTTTCCAGAGACAGTGGTTCTGACCTTGTCAGGGATTCCTCCTGCCCGACCTCATATTTAAGCATCCGGATCTGAACGTCCAGGGTGGACTTAGCTCAGCAACCTGGCATGTAAGACTTGATCTATTGTCCCTCAGCTCTCACAATTTCTTACTTCTTCCAGTTCCTGAAAATAGTACTCTGCATTTTGGCCAAAGTGAATAATTTCCAGTTCCCCAGCACACAATCAGGTAAGAAACAGAGAGCAGGATGTCCAGAAGATGATACCCCAGCTTCACGTTTGTCTGGAGGGAAGCTTGCATGTCATTCAACGGATCCCAGCCTCAGGTTCATCATGGGAATATAAAACCAGATTAGATGATCTCTAAGGTGTGCTCTGGCTCAAACTGTAATCATATTTTAACAGAACTAAAGAAAAGATACGATGCTCAACTTTTAAAATTAGTAGATAAATTTTTGGATTACCAATTGTACATTGGCTTACAGAACTTTGAATCATCAGATTTCAGTTCCAAAATATCTTACTTCCAGGCCTCATGTGTGTGTTTTGAAATAAAACACTATAAATGATATAAAGAATGATGTAAAAGGCTTTCATCTGAGAACATACATAAGTAGTCACAAAAGCTATCACCCAATATACATATGAATCGTTTCTGAAAATACAAATAAAATATTATTTGTCTATTTTATGAATAATGACTGTAATTATACACAGTTGCTCCTCTTTTAGCCATTACTATATTTTCTTAAATCATGTATTTTCTTATTTTTCTTAATAATTCTATCAATTATGTAAGTGCTATCCACTGTTATATTGTACAGTGGTACCATCTTCTACTTGAATTATCTCAATGGCTAACAAGGCCATAAGTTTCTAAAATATTCTCAGGACTAAATCTGCTTCTGGGAACTTAACATGACAAGTCTATATAGATGAAATAAATGCTCCAGACTCTAATTGTATATTATGTATACAAAAAGTAATATATATTTTATATATAAGACATATCTAATATAAAATGAGAGTTTAGGACATAGTCTAGAAGTATATATTATAATATATACTTTTATATTATATAATATATTATAACATATACTTCTATATTATATAATATAATATATAATGTATAATTACATAGAAATTATATATATCATGTGTGATTATATAGATATGTAAATATATATTATATAAGATAATATAAAATATATATTTGTGCAGACACACAATATAGATAGTAATCAAATAGATGCATATATGCACATAAAATATATATGGGAATCCCCTATAATAACTATGATTTTTATTTCACATTTAATTCATCCAAATCCCTGTTAATATATAGATTTTGGTCCTATTGTATTAACTAGCTAACATGAATGAAATTATGTATAATTTAAAATATCTGGGCGCGGTGGCTCATGCCTGTAATCCCAGCATTTTGGGAGGCCGGGCAGGCGGATCGCCTGAGGTTAGGAGTTTGAGACCAGCCTGGCCAACATGGTGAAACCCCGTCTCTACTAAAAGTACAAAAAAACTAGCCGGGCATGCTGGCAGGTGCCTGTAATCACAGTTACTCTGGAGACTGAGGCAGGAAAATCCCTTGAACCCGGGAGGCAGAAGTGCAGTGAGCCAAGATCGCGTTACTGCACTCCAGCCTGGGAGACAGAACGAGACTCCATCTCAATAATAATAATAATCTTTTGAGAAAATGCTACATAGAATGTGTACGTTTTGGTAAGTGGATGGTGGTTGGGAACAGTGGATGTGAGGATGGCTGGGGAAGACACTCCCTAGAAAAAGTAAAGTGAACGAAAGAGAAACTCCCATGAACCCACCTCCCGTCTCCATCAAGTGCACCACGCCTTTCTCCGCAGGGCTGTCGCGGCAGAAGCCCATGCTGGTGCACCTGTTGCTCCTTCCACTACGGAGGCCGACACATGACCACCTTCTTGCTTGGAGACTTTTTGTCATCCTGAGGGTCTCACCCCAAGAATATATTCTCCAGCATTCCTGCCTCTCCTGCCCACAGCAGACGTCTCTTCAAGTACCCATTTCACTATAGGGACACCACCGTGAGTTCACTCAAGAGCACATCTACCTGCAGGATTTGGTTATGCTTTAAAAGAAAAAGTTTTTGTATTGTTACAAGAACACTTGACATGGCTTCTGCCTTCTTAGATTTCTGAGGGTGTAGCACAGTATTTTTGACCGTAGACTGTGTTGTACAGCAGCAGGTCTCTAGAACGTATCCATCTTGCATGGCTGAAGCTTATACCCATTGATTAGCAACCCCTCATTCCCCCTCCTATTAGCCCCTGGCAACCACTATTCTGCTCTCCGATTATATGAGTTTGACAATTATGTATCTTATATAAAAGGAATTTCCTCTAAAAGTATACATTTTAATCCAACTACATGCAAAATAAGAACGCAAATAAATGCATCCTTTTCTTCCTTTTTTTGAGTCTGTGAGACAAAACATCTTCCAGAGGCCATACATGAAAATCAAGGAAAAGTAAAATCAACTCATCAGAACCTGATCGATGTTATGATGTTACGTATGTTACTGATGTTACATATGTAACAAGAATTTGGAAAATTGTGACTCATTCTACAGAGATAGTTACAAGTTAAAATATCCCACTTATTTACAGAAACATACAGTAAAGAATATACTTAATGTCCTTGGGAAGACAGTGCGATAGAAAGAAATACACAGCAGATGAGTGCTCAGATTTGAAAAAAAAATTATAAAGAAAAAAAGACTAGTAATCTGATTTAAAATTTATCAGCACAGAAATGCAATGCATCTTAGAAGAGACTCAGTACAACTAATTAAAATTAATTCGATTGCAATTATTGAGTAGTATAGGAAGAACAAGGGGAACATTTTAGTCAGCATTTCCAAAAATATTATAAAACTTTCATGATATTCACATGCTGATGTTGAATGTGATATGTATACAGTGGCCACTGAAGAGAACATCAAATTGACTTTTTATGTAAGAAATTGGATAAAGAACAGGAATCAAGTAAATCCAAAGTGTAATTTTCTCATGAACATGAATTGATGGGATGTGTTCGGGTCAAATATAATGTGTGTCGTTATACAGCTGAGGCAGGAATCTGACATTTCTTTGGCCCTGCCATAAAATTTAAAGTGACATGCTTTTATTTTCCTCTGGGACTGCGGCTACGATTCTCAGATGAGAAGTGGCCTCAGCTGGCATGGTTTAAATGGAAATACATGTGGATAATAACCATAGACTATAAAGCACTGCTGGCCAACCAGGAATCAAATTAAGGGTAAGTAAAAGCTTTGTTTATATTTCTTTTGCTTTTAAACCTTTCCAGAGATTTGATTATATGTTATTAGCATGAAGATTCATTGAATATGAACCCAGGAGACAAAATAGTATATTTAGCTTCAAGACTCTTCCTGAGGGGGTGTGTGTGCCTTGTTTGCATGTGCCTATGTGTTTGCCTGTGCACATCAATCTTTCTTTCTACGTGTGCAAGAATAAGAAGAGAACACTGACTTCTTTGTCCAGATCTCTTCAGTAGGGAACAAACCTTATCTAGGACCCAGGACAATGGCTTTTTAAACTTACTTTAATCCCCTTCCCTTCGGGAAGGCATGAAAGGAATACTGTACTTTCAGTATGAACCCAGCATCGAAGTCTTGGAACAAGCCTCTCAGGGGTCTTAATTAACAATCATGTATCTAAAAACAGTTGATGGTTTTCAGGATTGCCGGGAAATAACACCCCCTGGCATTTCCTGCCTGAGAACTTCCTCACCATTTCCAGTTCATGGGTGTGAAGCCTTTGGTGAACTGTCAGTCATGGAAAGGAGTTGGGGGGTGGGGGAAACGAGTGGACCCTTGATTGGATGTCCTCTTCACGCACACTGTATGATTTACGTTCTGTAGTGCACCGGTGGTGAGTCAGGCTTACCCCCACGGTAAAGACAGGGAAGCAGACACAGATGAAAGTGTAATTCACCTAGGCCAGGGCAGCTACATCATTTGAGCCCTGAACTATGCAAGGTCAAAGGACGCGTTTCTCATACCACCCTTTGTTTATAGTCTCATAAATGTATGTGATTCAGGTTTCCACCGAATCTTAGCAGTGAATAGTGCTTGAATGCTCCAAGACACATTTTTAGTTGTTTTGTAACAAATGTCATTTTCCCATTGACAGAAATAAACAACACTGAGATATTTTCCCCATGGGTAGGATTCACATCAGCGACTATCACTTGGTCGGGAAGTTTATTCATTGTGCAATTCCACGAAGAGCCAAGTCATCTGCCGTTGTCATAGAGGAGGAAGTGGAGCTGTGAGCACTGCCTGGCTTGCTGTCTGACAGATTTGGTGGTCCCCATGTGGTCCCTGCAGCAAGATGGCTTTCAGGCATGCACCACTGGCAGCTCCATGGGACACCAAGCAGTTCCCATTTATGCGCCGACGTCCTCCAAAGTTTCCTGACTTCAAACATCTGTATGTCGAGGCACTTTTGCAAATGATGAAGAAAAACAAAAGAACAACAACAAAAAACTCTTGACTTAGGGAAAACTCATGAATATTTCCAAAATGAAAACCTCTTTGCTTTATCTTGGAAAATATCGTGCAGAATACAGCCATGATCAAATTTTTGGAAGAACTGTTTCTTAGAATCATAGAGTTAGCAGGAACCTGCTGGAACAGAAATATATGCCATCCTCTTCAGACTCTGCCATTTAACAAAGAAGACGTTCCATTGTTAAAAGTCTTTCACTGCTACTTCTTCCTTTGAGGAGGTTTACGTCTACATTTTCCCCTGCGTTACTTATTTTTCCCTTTGTTCTTCCACATATGTAACATCAGTTAGTGAATCCCACTGGGACACCAGTGTCATCCTTGTCCTCTGTTGTACAGAGCTTCCTGTCAAATATTCTGAGTTTCTTCAATTTTCCCACATGGGATTTTGTTCCCAATGCTGGCATTCTAATCTCTGGCTTTTGCTCCTTCTCTGCATCCATTTGTAAGTACATTTCTTACACAAAGGCACCTGTGTTACAACAGAAGTTTAGAAGTAATCCAACCCGCACCAAGACCTTATTAACCATGAAATAACCTTGACCTGAACACAATGCACTCATTGGCACAAAGCAAAGGGGTAAAAACCCTTTTTATGTGTCACTTTTTAAGGCCCGGATTGTGTTTAATTACAAACTTTTTGGTATTTTTCTTACAAATTCTTATGTCAAAAATAATTATCTTCTTATACAAATTAGGTTTTGAAATTAATTAAATGTAGCAATTTCAGTTAATCTCTATTAGTGTTCACCTTTAAAACATTACTACCTCAATTAATAAAAATAATTTAAAAATATGTTTCTCTTCCCAATATATATTTCATTCTATTTAGTAGAAAAATGACAATAATAGAATATGATGGCAGAATTTGGTTGCTGTATCCAAAATTCTATATTTTCTGGTTGTTTTGTCAACTATTCATCTTCTAAATCTGCATAACTGTGTTATTATGACTTCTAACTTAAGGAATTCTGATGTATTTAGATACGGTAGCTCCCCAATTACAACCCTGTAAGCCTTTTTTGTAACACACATGTTTCTATAACCTCTCTCTCATGCATCCCCCATCCTCTACAACTGAGGTTCCTTACAGGCACCCTTGTATCCCGTTTGCTGCTATTAATTTACAAAGCCACTCATTAATCCTTGACAAAAGAGCTGTCGACTCACCTTTAATATTCACCTCCCTAGACTAGCACATAATTCAACTCTGCCCTTAACTCTGTCAATGGCAGTAAATTAAACTAAGAAACTTTCAGTGGGGCTTTAAGTCCCTTCTCTGTTAAGAAGAGACAGTGGTGGATGGGATCCTTGGAGAAAACTGGCCTCGTCACATTTTGCTGCGGCGGACAGAGGACTGGAGGACCATCACAGGTACAGGGCTATTGGCCGTCACGTGATGTAGCTGAAGTTCATTTCTAGTGCCCTAGTCTTCCATCCAGATTATCCCTCCAATTATAAAACTTTTTTTATTGTTTTAGAAAGTAATTATCCAGGTTTCCTCATTGTAATGCCTCTATGTGAATTCATTCCATCGTCAAAACCTACTCATCCAGTTATCAACTATGTAACAGCCCACTCTGAAAAAAATGATAGTAAAATCTGGCAGGTGTCATGTTCAATTTAATAGCTGTCTTCGACTTTTTGTTGAGTTTTACTCACTGAAGGTGAATAATAAGAAAAGTACTTTAGACAAGAACACTTTGTTAGTCACCTATTTTAAAAATTATTTTGACATTTGCTTTCTATTTTTGCACATTTTCCAAGTAACAGGTCATTTGAGTAAGGTAGACAAATACGGAAACAGAAACACAATGTTTGAAAAGAATCAAATCCCACTAACTTTGTAAAGATCCACTTTGGGAGGCCAAGGCAGAAGGATCGTTGAAGCTAGGAATTTGAGACCAGCCTGGGCAACAATGTGAGATCCCATCTCTACAGAAAATAAAAAATTTAGCTGGTGTGGTGGTGCACTACTATGGTCCCAGCTACTTTGGAGGCTGAAGTGGGAGGATTGCTTGAGCCCAGGAGGTTGAGGCTGCAGTGAGCTGTGATCATGCCACTGCACTCCAGCCTGGGTGACAGAACAAGCAAAGCCTTGTGTAAAAACAACAACAACAACAACAACAAAAATCATCCGCATCTTAAGTGGAGACTTACAAAAGAGATACTTAGCATTTCTGGATGGATGAGACCAAGGGAAAAGAGGTCAGGCTGTGTGGGTTGCTATTGAGGTAGAAGTGTTTTGTTCCTGTAGGACAACAAAATAAGTTCCTTGAGACACACTTGCTACTCCACCTCCCAGGTTCCAGTGATTCTCCTGCCTCAGTCTCCCGAGTAGCTGGGATTCCAGGTACACACCACCACGCCCGGCTAATTTTTGTATTTTTGGTAGAGATGGGGTTTCATCATGTTGGCCAGGCTGGTCTCAAATTCCTGGCCTCAAGTGATCAGCCCGCCTCAGCCTCCCAAAGTGCTGGGATTACGGGCACGAGCCACCATGCCTGGCCTGAAAATAGACATTTAAAACATGAACAGCTATAGGGATTTGTGGGACAATAACAAAAGAGCTGGCCTTCCTATCACCAGAGTCCCAGAGGGAGAAGAGAAGGCAAGTGAAACTTAATATAACATTTCAGAGAATAATTGTTGGAAATCCCCCCACAATTTAGCAAAAGATATAAACCAACAGATTCAAGGAGCTGAATAAAACCCCAACAAGATACCCATGCTATGACACATTCATAATAAAACTCCTAAAACTAAAAGCAAAGAAAAAAATTGATAACATCCAGAAAGAAAAGGAACGACACATTGCTGATAGAAGTCCCGTTAGATTGACAGCCGACCTCTCATCTGAGACCCTGAAGGCTCAAAGGATGCGCCACAAGGTACTTCAAGCACTGAAATGAAAGACCTGTCAAATAAATTCTCTATCCAGTGAAAACACACTTCAGGAAATGAAGGGGAAATGCAGATGTTCTCCAACAAGGAAAACGAAGAGGAATTGTTACCAACGAGCTCACCCTTGAAGAATGGCTAAAGGAGCTTCTCCACACAGAAAGGAAATAACTGGAGAAAACCTGGAATCTTGTTAGCAACGACAACAGAGAGCACTAGAATGATCAAAAATCGAGGCCAATATAATAAACTGTATCCTTCACGTAAGTTTCTCAAATCATATCTGATGGTAGAAGCACAAATTCTAACATTATGTGATGTGACAATCAATATGTAAATATGGAGAGGAAATACATACGGCAATTATATTTAAAACATGGGGACGTAAAGGGATGTAAATGAACATAAGATTTCTATATGTCACATTAAGTGGTGGAATGTTGATATAAGTGGCCTGTGTTAGTTAAACACAGGTACTGTGTTTACTTAACCTAGAGCACTAAGAAAATTATGTGAAATTCTATACTCAAAATATTATAAGTAAATCAAGATGAAATCTAATCTTTCAAACTTCTGACCTCTTTAAGATTTTTCATTAAAATAAGTTATTTAAAAAGTGAATACATTTGAAGTTCAGCAAAATAGAGAGAGCAGAGGGGTCACAGTGTGGCAGGAAGAGAGAAAGAGGTGGACAGAGAGAGCTGATTTTGCTCAAGCGATTCTCCTGCCTCAGCCTCCTGAGTAGCTGAGATTACAGGCATATGCCACCACGCCCAGATAATTTTTATATTTTTAGTAGTGACAGGGTTTCACCATGTTTGCCAGGCTGGTCTTAAACCCCTGACCTCAGGCGTTCCACACCCCTCAGCCTCCCAAAGTTCTGGAATTACAGGCGTGAGCCAAGGCACTCGGCTGGAATCTTTAACCCCTTTTTTTACACCTCTTAATTCACCAAATCTTGTTACTTCTACCTCAGTGAGATAATTCATATCTGCCTCCACCTTTACCAAAGTTTAGGTGAAGAAAGGAGATACTAGCTCCAACGTGACGTTACCTGGAATTGACTCATTTAAAGCAGAATTTCTCTCCCCTAGTTACAGCCTCATCTCCATCACGCCAGGCTGCCCATTGTCCTTAGTGATTACTTTCTTCTCCCTCCAAGTGTTCTCTAAGGGTTTATAGATAAGTCATTGATACTCAACGTGGGCTTAAAGGAATGGGTCATGTCTCTCAGGTGCTTTTGAATTAAAAGCGTTATTGCTCGCTTTTGCATGAAAGACTGCTTTCCCTTGTATAAGTTTTAGTTAACTGAAAAGAAACTGGAATGAGATTTTGGGTTTAGCAGAAATTCTGTTTTATTCACTAAAGGCACAACAACACTATACAGAGTCAACTCCTTCACCTGTGAGCTGCCTCTGTGCATAACAGTGAGACTTCCACTTCAACAGCAGCCAAGCAACAAGAAGACCTTGCCAGGGAGGTCAGCAATCACCCGCCAGGTACGGCAGCTCACACCTGTCATCCACAGCTCTTTGGAGGCCGAGGCAGGAGCATCGCTTGAGGCCAGGAGTTCAAGACCAGCCTGGGCAACATCGTGAGACTCTGTCTCCACACACACACACACACACACACACACACACACACACACACACACACACACAATTAAAAATATAAAGAGCAGGGTGTGATGGCTTGTGTTTGTAGTCCCAGCTACTTGGGAGGCTGGAGGTGGGAGGATTGCTTGAGCCCAGAAGATGGAGGTTGCAGTGAGCTGTGATCTAAGATCCCAACACTGCACTCACTCCAGCCTGGGTGGCAGAATGAGTCTCTGTCTCTAAAACAAATAAATAAATTTAATTTAATTTAAATAAAAAACTACCAACTCCCTTCCTTTCACCACGCCCTATGAAATTGCGATGAAATTGTTGTATAGTCCCAGTTAATACCATTCTATGTCCCACAGGGAAGAAGCAGGCATGTTCTTCTCCACAATAGTATGCAAGGATAACAGATGTGGCAGCTAGAGAAAGGCATAGAAGAGGAGGGAGCAAACTAAGAAATCCAACGTTCACAGGTGACACTCTCCAGCTTCCCTTTTCACGTACAATATGACATGTGCCTTTCTGCAAGACAGAACTTCATCTCCTTTGGGGAAAATATGGCAAGTCGCCTGTTCTGTTTGACTAGACCTTGATCCCAAGAAAAAGACACCTCTGCGACCAGGTCCCTGGAGAAGCTGCGTGAAGCCCGCCGTGTGGTAGTGCCCACCCGTCACCCTCCCCACGCCCTCGCCTGCAATTCATTTCTGGATTTCCAAGGACATTTGGGGTTCAAGGCAGATGGCTCATAGTTCTCCTTATTAGTACATTTGTACGAATCAGACCATGGGGACCATTTTAAGTTTAAAAAATACACGAGGAAAACTTATTTCTTCCATAATTGTAAAAGTCCTCCAAAAAGAATATAAAATTTGAGTAAGTCCAAAGAAACAAAGACCGTGTTGTTTTGTTTTTTTGTTTTTCTTTTTCATTTTTTTTTTCATGGCACAGTAGGCTGAAATATTGTTCTCTAAGCCTGTCTAAAAACCATCTGTCTTTCTTGGGCATGTAACCTTCTTCTGTTTATCATCCATAGTTGTTTAAAGCCCTGACTGTGTAAAGTCTGCTGTTAATTTTTAGAAAACGAAAGAGTTGTCCATTTTGTATAGACTTGGAAATAATTCTTGTGCAGTAGAGAGCGTGATCCCCGAAGTTCTGGTGCTATTGCTGTGCAGTGTGTGAACGAGTTTTCTTTCATCTAATTTAGCAAGCCTATTTCATCACTCTCGTTTGGTAACTGACTGCGGGCATAGCCGTGTCTCGTGTTCTTCTCGGAACAAGCTTTTCTTCCTGCTGGGCCCCTCGATAGCTGCCCCATAAATCTTTAACATGTGTTCATTATAAATTCCTCTGAGGATTCTATTCTTCCAGTTTTGAAAATTGCACATAGACAAAACAAGATAGAGAATATGCTAATTTTAAAATACATTTTCTCCATTAATCAAGTTTGCACTGTTGGGAAAACACTGTTCTGTGTCATAAATATTTTACCTAATTTTTACACGATACTTAGAGTATAGGGGCTTATTTAAGATTTGAGGGTGGTTATGATTTAAAAGATTTATGCACAGAGAAAATAGACACACAATTTTCAGTTGAGTCTTCCATTTTGAGAAAAACTCTCAGGAAGACTGGCTTCTAATTCCCAATAGTTTATTCTTTCACTCGAACACTTTAAACCTTGTACAATGGCACCATTTTTTTTTTTGGTACTTACAATTAATGTTATTTCTCTCCCATTCTATTTTTATTTCCTTACAGAGTCAATGAAAGCAAAAAGTAGAGGTTTATTAAGCCAACTCAATGGCATTATGCCCCCAGGAAATCCAGTAGGTCAAGTGCTATAAATTATGGCCTTTTACATTGCATGAGTACCATGAAGATAAATGAGGATGCTAATGCATGACACCGAAAGAAGAAAAGGACACATTTCACTCTGAGTTTTTGTTCTACCGTTTATTTTTTATATCTTTGGGTAAAGGTAACATTCCATTACCTACGAGCAAATACTTTATACTACACCTTTAGCTATTTCTCCCATATAAATGACAAAATTGCCAATTCCAGAATATTGACACAAACTTTATAACACTGGACAGTCTTTCTGGCAATCTAAAAAATGAGAAATAAAAGCCCCAAATATTAAATTGATTTTCTGTGCGTTTACTTATCACATATTAGAAAAATAAATGGTTATGATAGTCTCTGAAAATCCTCCTCATTGTTTCTCATACACATTTGTAAATGCTAGTGTGTTTTCTAACTGTATTTACAGCTCTTTCGTGCCCATCTCTCCAATTCTACCAGGTAATGTACTTGGTCTTTTTTTTTTTCTTTCTTTAACATTGTAAGTTTGTGAAGCAGGATGATGGGAGTCCAGGTTTCTATTTCTGTACTTGTGCTCCCTAGAAGGAACAGAGTTTGGAGGACTGTAAAAGAAAAGTGGAGGTAAAAGTGTTTCCTCCAGATTGGAAGGAGATGCCTGAGGTGCAAGGGAGGAGCAGCAGGAGTGGTCAGTTGGATCAGATCGCAGCAGGTGCATTTCACTTTCCTGTAGCCTCATCGTCCTAGCAATGGCTCAGCATTCCAACCATGGAAGCTGCAGAGGAGAGTAGAGGGACGCTGGATGGGATTCCCTGCAAGAAGAGAGGACACAGCAGTCTCGATGCCTCCACCTACTAGTGCCATGGGAACAACTAAGATGCTGGCACCATGGCATGTCACCAGAGGGGATTACAAGAATGGTTGGAACAAAACATTATGAACTTCAGCAAGATTGTGGCTTGAAATACAGATTAAATTACATTATAAAAATCTGAATTTAATGTGTATGGCACAATTGCTGTACAGATATTGGATAAGGTGTGGTTGTGATTACTTATTTTTGTAGGATGAGAATGTTTGTACTGTCATTGTCCTAATCATTATGATGAAGAATCTGTCTGGAAACAAGTGAGGTTTGTATTCACAACCTGCATGCCTTTGACTGATGTTTCTCTCCAGGGCTCTCACATCAGCTTCATTATCCGTGAACACCTGTCAGAAGGTGAAGGCTGAGGTCACTATTTGTTTCACCATTTATAATATTTTAATGAAGATTTGAAATAACACCATGACTATCACTATAAAGATAACTCACAAAACAAACAAACAAAATAAATCAGGACATACAGCATTTTGAACCTTGGGATCAGGTGTGGGAGAATGTTGTGTCTAACAGTGTCAGTCTGAACTTGTTTTTAAGTTCTTAATGTCCAAAGTAATTGAACATGTGTGTGTCAGGGGTCAAGTCCATCACATGGTTAAACTGCGCTAGTGGACTGGGGATATAAATGAAATATGCTTTCACAGTCAAGAACATACCCCATGGCTCCAGGTTTTTTCCCCCTGAATTCTTTTAGATTGCACCTCCAGTCTACAACAAGCCAAGAACTTGTCTCTTCCCTTCTGAAATTTCTTTCAGAATCAGTTTCTATGAAAGCAATAACAGTGCCTGCATACACACACACACACACACACACACACACACACACAGCCCACACACACACATGTCAATACACAGGTACACAGTATCACTCACACATAGTCATGTTTCCCGAGGAAAAAAAAGTGAATGCTATATAGTCAAGTAGAAAGAATACTGTTAAAAGGCAAGCAAAAACTGATTACCTTTTATCTGGGATATTCCTTCTTATATAATATTAACAGTGGGCTCTGAGTCCTTCCCTTCTGCATCAGTTAAAATCCTGCTCACTTTATTCCCGTCTAAATTAGTACCATCCACTGGCCATTCTGTGCTTTCAGATTTTTTTAATGTGTATTTTTAATAAAATGATATTTATAATTCAGAACTCAGGTCATTGTGACCCTTTTCTTGCAATCTAAAATAAGATCTATAATTTTGTTTTGGAAGCATGTAGATAAGGCATTAGAAGTAAGGCATTTGTTGTACTGAAACCAAACTCCTAAAAGACACATTCCAGAAGTTATTTCAAATGGTTAGTCCCACCCACCATCCCTCTCCATTTCTCATTCTGATGATTTGCTGAACAGGGGTGACCCTCCCGTCTACTACAGTGAGGCCCTCAGTGGAGAATATCCATGTGTGTGCGTATCCTGAGCCAAATGATCACTAAGAGCCAGTTTCATGACTGTTTCCTAAGAGAATGTTGTCTACGATTATTTTATTATCTATTACTTAGATACAGCCAAAATTCAGTGTTAAACCTGGAAATATAGTACTAGGAAAATATAGGACTCTTCTCTCAATGCCTAGTAGAAATGCACACACTGCATGTATATTCAAGCAATACATAAGTAAAATCATTCAAACCACTCTTTAAATTATTTATGTTTCTCTGTTTCCAAAATTGTGAAAATGCGAAATATCAAGCTATTGGCCCAAATTCTACATCTTAACTGAAATGTAGAATTACATCTCAAATAAAGATAATTTTATTGGTGGTTATGCCATGACATGCTTATGCACTCTATGCTGGATGTTTAAACTAACCAGATATACGTTGTGAAAGTAAATCTTATAATTATTTCCATAATTCTAATATATAATTCTTATCACAAGTACATGATTGCTGGATCTAAATCAAATAATAATTTTTACGCTCTTGATACCTGCTGGCAAGTTGCTTTCTTAAATGACTAACCAATTTATATTCCTTTAAGATTTCTGTGAGAAAACCTATGATTTTTGGGTCCACTTGATCACTCTGTGGCTTTTCCTATTGTAGTTTTCTGTTGAAGGTTATTCTCATTGACTTCTTTTTATTTTATACTTTATGATGCACTCATTGAAAGCCGCTCCACACCAAATGCACAGCTTAATACATTTTATTTAAACAAATACCCGCATAACAACAACTCTGTGGTGCAAACACCACAGAGGTAGGAGGCCACAACCTTTGTGGGCTTTTCCACTGGCATTTTCTACAGTCTCCTTAACATTAACGCAATTTGTGATTTTATAAAAATCTCCTCATTCTCCTTGGTAGCTTTAAGATAAAATAATGCATTTCTAAATAAAATTACACCTGTTTCTTGAATTTCAAACACATACTATTCAAGAATATTTCCTCTCTTTAAAATGTCAGTATAATGTACTATATTGATCGATTTTTAAATGTTAGGCAAACTTGATTTTTTGAAACAAATTTAAGTTGGTTGTTATGTATTGTACTTTTTGCATATTGCTGAATTTAGTTTGCAAATATTTTGTTCAGAATTTTTGCATCTATAATTATTAGTGAAATTGATAACTTCTATATATTCTTTTGTGTTTTGATACAAAGCTGATCATTTCTCTATTTTTTTAAGTTTATGGTATATTTGTTTTATTTCTTTAAAATATTTGTTTGAATTTCCTGGTGAATCAAGCTAAACATGGAGTTTTGGGGGGAAAATATTTTTAAAAATATAATGTCTATTTGTTGGAAACAAAATTACTGATATTTCTTATTTCTACTTGCATAATTTAGTAGTTATTTAATTTTCTAAGAATTTGTCTATTTGATCTACATATTGAAAAGTAATGGCAAAATCTTGCTCATGATATTCTTTGTTTTCTTTTAAAAGTCTGTAGGATTTGTAGTGATGACTCTTTTTTATTTCCTTTCTATGCTCGGCTTCCACGAGTTTAACTGTGTGTATTCTGTAGTTTTTAAGAGCAATGTATATATCTAAAGTAAGGTTTTATGTACTAAACATATTTTGCAAATGTTCTATATCCTTGCTAAGATTTTTTTCTTGCCTTTTTCTATCAATTATTTAGACAGGTATGTAATATTTCTCACTCTAATTGTAAATATAATTTTTTGAGATTATAAAACATTTTGCTTAATATGTTATCAGAATAAGTAATGTGGTACATAATCATTTAGAATTATTCTATTTTCCTGATGAGTTGTAATTTTTATTTTTATAATGCATGTCTTTTTAATACAGATAATGTTTTATCTCCTCTATTGGTAGATTTTAATATCAGCTCTCTGGAGATCAGTGTTTTTGCCCTTTTCTTTTGATTTTCTTGCATCTTAATATTTCTAAATATGCTTCTTTTTAACAGTCTATTATTGGGTTTTGAAATTTTTTAAACATCCAGAATAGCCATTTTGAGTTATAATTGAAGGATCGTGTCCATTTTTTAAAATAAACTTTATTTTTTAGAAAAGCTTAGATTTACAGAAGAATTAAGAAGACAGTACAGAAAGTTCTTGTGTACCCCATCCTAAGCATTTCTGTTTTTAACGTCTTATCTCAGTATGATACACTGATACAATTAAAAAATCAGTCTTGATACATTATTAACTAATGTCCAGGCTTTATTCAGATTTATTTAGTTTTTGCACGTATGTATTTTCTGTTCAAGATCCTATATGGCAGGCCCCATTATATTCCATTGTCCTGTCTCTCAATCTCCTCGTGGTTGTGATAGTTTCTTAGACTTTCCTTGTTTCCTCAAAACCTTTACAGTTTTGAGGAGTTCCGATCATGGTTCTAGAACATTCCTCAACTGAGATTTGTCACATATGTTTCTCATTATTAAATTGAGGTTATATGTTCTCACAGGAAGACTAGAGAGGATTAGTGTCATTTTATCACATCGCATCACATATAATATGTGCTATCAACATAACTTAGCACTTCCAATGTCTGCCTGGACTACCTGGCTGAGATAGCATTTCAGGTTTTTCTGCTGTAAAGATTATTTGTTTCACAATTTCTGTACAGCCTTCTTTAGAAATAGATTGCTTTATATAGTCCACATTTAAGGAATAGGATGTTACGTCTCAGCTTTTTAGAATAAAATGTCTATATAAATTATTTAGAATACCAGATTCTTTTTTTCTGGTACTACAAGACGCTCTAGGGTCACCTGATATGTTTCTTGCCCTCTTCCTGGGATATCTAGGTATTTTTTTTGAAGAGCAGCATCAGAACCAAGATCTGGACACTGAGTGAGCTCCTTGCAACTGAGGTGTCCTTGACTTTGAGCCCTTTCACCTGACATAGTAAGAAAAAATATGTGTGCACTAACCTGTGACTATGTACATACCTATAATTAGTTCTATGTAAAACTGTCTGTAACAATATTAATATTAACAATATTAAGCTGAAATTTCTATTCTGATCTTACAAACCCTAACCCATAACATGGAGCCTTCTAGACTTTTCCTCTTGCTCATCTGGAAACTCCACTCAAACAGGGGGAAATCAGGTCCCGCCACTCACACCCTTTTATCTAAATGTTTACTAAGTGAGTCAAGGTGGTTCGTGCTGTAGCCTCGGATCCCAGCACTTAGGGAGGCTGAAGTGGAAGGATTGCTTATACCTAGGAGTTCAAGATCAGACTGGGCAACACAGTGAGACCCTGTATCTACAAAAAAAATGAGAAGAGAAAAAATTAGCCAGGCATGGTGGTGCATGCCTATAGTCCCAGCTACTTGGAAGGTTGAGGTGGGAGGATTGCTTGAGCCTAAGAGTTCAAGGCTGCTATGATCCATGATTGCACCACTGCAGTCCAGCCCTCTGGGCAACAGAGTGAGAACCTATCTATCTCTAAAATACATACACACATGTTTACTACTGCATTTGCTTTTAATGCAATGACTGATATCTCTAAGATTAAATTTACTGTATTACAACACTTTTTCTATTCTTTACCCTTTCCATTTTTCTCTTTTCTTTCATGTATTTAAATTGATTTAGTTTTATAATTTTTTATTACATAAATGTAAAAATATACAAACATTTATTGCTTTTCGATGGTTGCCCTAGAAATTGCATCACACATCTTAACCTATATTTATTTTATATTAATTGTTACTTTTCTCTTTTTTTCCAGAGCAAGACCCTTCAAACAAAACATTTAAATTATTTCCCTTCCATAATATATGCTACAGTTGTTAGATATCTAATTCTCTCATACACTTTGAAACTGAAAACATTTAAACTCTTGCTATATACTGTTGATATTTGTTTAAATTTATACATGTAAATTGTATTTTTTTATTGATCACTATTTTTCTCCCAAATCTCTAACTATCTGACCATCCCTTCTACTGGAAGAACAACCAACATCCAGTTCAGGAGTCTCAGTGCCAAAGTCTTTGGCTTTCTCTAACCTTATCCTCCCTGAAGAACACAACTATTTTCATTTTGTTTTGTTTCATTTTATACTTATTATTATATTTGTTAGGGTTCTCCAGAGTAATAGAAAAAAGTAGAAGACATATATATCTTCTATATATACATATATAGAAAGAGAGAAAAGTGAGAGACATATATAGAGATAGATACACACACAGGCACACACACACATATATATGAAGTGAGAGAGAGAAAGAATTATAATACATAGTATTATAATACCTACATATATAAGGAATTGGCTCATGTGACTATGGAGGCTGGAAAGTCCAAATCTCTGGTGTGAACTGGCAGGTGATAGACCCAGGGAAGGAGAAAGTGCAGTTTCATTCTGAAGGCCAGAAGCCCAGAGACCCAGCAAAGAGTCGATGTTGTATGCTGGCAAAATTCACTCTTGCTTGGGGGAGGTCAGTCTTTGTTCTACTCGGGCCTTCAGTTGATTGGATGTGGCCCACCCACATTGGGGAGGGCTATCTACCTACTCAAAGTCCACTGACTTAAATGTTAACCTCATCCAAAGACATTTTCATAGAAACATCCAGAATAATATGAAACCACATATCTTAGTACCCCAGGGTCTGGTCAAGTTCACATGTAATATCAACCACAACAAAATATAACATTATTTTTCTGGAAAGATGATCTTTATTGCAAGAAATCTATTAGGTTGATGCAAAAGTGATTGCGGTTTTTGCCATTACTTTTAATGTCAGAAATCGCAATTGGTTTTGCATCAACCTTATATTTACCAATAAAAACTTGGAATAGACTCTTTTTTTGATTACTATTGTCAGCAAAATGTAAACTATTTCACAACAATTGAATGAATACCCAACTGATTTCAATATCTCTAATACTGCCATCATCAGGAAATTTGAAACCGCATTCATTCCTTCTTACAAGTGTAGACCTAAGGAGGGTGCATGCAAAATAGGCAGAACCCAGGATAATTCAACATAATTTAGGGGCTGCCTGCAGTGAAAGTCATTTTGCACTAAGAACCGACTCTTTTGGGAGTAGCATCTGCTCCTCCAAGCCCTGATGGAGAGCCCTTTCTCCTGCGGACAGCAGCAGCGTGCTGAGTCCATGAGTGATGACGATGAAGGCAGTCCACATCCCTCCCTTCAGGTACATCCTTCCACTGCATTGCTGCCCCAAACAAGATAAGAAGGGCGATGACTCCTTTCTGTTGATCTCACCTCTATCTCTACTACACACTCAAAGCACAGGGTTCAACCAACTATCACAACCCGGAAAAAAAAAAAAAAGCAGGTTTTGAATAAGAACATCTTAAAGTCTCGTGCGGGGTGGTATGGGAGTTCCATGCAGAGAAAAAGGGAATATGGCAGAGGGGGAATATTGGGAAAATACGTCCCCCACATTGAGGATGGAGGAAATGTTTCTTGTTTTGTTTGTTTTATTTAATCACAGAATCTGGGGCACATCTCTAATAGATTCATTTGTCATTGTAATTCATGACAGCAGGCTTAAGACTTGAAAGAACTCCTCAAATTTACCTTCCTTTATTGTAACCGAACTATTTTTTATAAGACTAATATCTTCAGTGTGAAGCCGTGTAAAAGGATGTCTTGGAAACCATATAAAGTGGATTTACTTCCTTGTAGCTTTAGCAAGCCATTCAAAAAAGTAATTGATAAGATTGCGTGAACTAAAGGTTAAAAACAATTGGGATTTTTCAGAATGATATATTCAATTTTGTATGCAACTATTACAATGTACTTATTTTTATCTTTTATATCTCTACTAGTCACTCTGTTCAGAAGGAATTATTTGGTTATCATGCAGCACATATTAAAAGGTACTGTGACTATAAATTCCCTATATATACATCTATATATACAATCAATATATATTCAATTTTTTGTTTTTGAGATGGGGTTCCACTCTTGTGGCCTAGGCTGGAGTGCAATGGCATAATCTAAGCTCACTGAAACCCCCGCCTCCCAGGTTCAAGCGATTCTCCTGCCTCAACCTCCCGTGTAGCTGGGATTACAGGCACCCGCCACCATGACCAGCTAGTTTTTGTATTTCTAGTAGAGATGGGGTTTCGCCATGTTGCCCAAGCTAGTCTCGAACTCCTGACCTCAGGTGATCTGCCGGCCTCAGCCTCTCAAAGTGCTGGGATTACAGGTGTGAGCCGCTGTACCCTGCCTATATATTCAATTTAAATATTACGATAATTAAGAAAAGAATAGATTTATATTTCCTACGGAGACTATACTTTTAGTATAGTCTCCACTGCCATTCTGTCAATGCATGCATGCTCAATATTGTATCTGGGAAGTGTTTTACAGTATGGGGTGGTGGAAGCCAGGTTCGTAGCTAGTGTCTATTTTTCATGGGATAAGGACCCTCACCATGCGAGAGCTAAAGTTACCAACTTGGTATCAATTGACTTGAAATCTTGGAATTTTACAACTGTGTTCACATTCAGGTGCCAGGCTAGAGCTGGCCCCGGCACAGCACTGGTATCTTTCTCCCTACCTGAATCTCTGTCCAGATATTGTCCTTTGCCTTCTGTCCTTTCATTACATTAACTAATTAATTAATTGTGAAAACCAGACTCTTCTGAAGAACTCCACAATGTAGCTGGAAAATAATACTGACCTGTATGAAACAGAGACTGAAGTTGTAAGAGTTAGACAAAAGAAGAGAATATGAAATATGGAAAGTCAGTGCAATTGATAATAGCAGCGATATGATTCACCATTTCTAGGGCTCCTTCCAGGCACAGTGCCAAGTGCCCTACACTTCTTACCCCATTTAATCCTCAAAACAGTCCTAACAGAATCACACTATTATCAGACCTACTTTGCAGTTAAGAAAACTGATGCTTAGTAAAGTGAAGTAACTTTTCCAAGCTCACACATGGCAAATCCATTTACTTTCAAATGTCTTATACAGGTGAGAACTTCTTTGACTTTACAGATGGGTGAGGTAACTGTGGTTGAAATAGCCTGAGAAGAATATGTGGATAAGAAGGGCCTTGGATTATGAGTGAGACTTGAAATTCGAAATAAGTACAGTTGACCCTCGAACAGCGTGGGCATTAGGGGCGCTGCGCCAATCCCCTGCACAGTCAAAAGTCTGAATATAACACTGGAGTCCCCAAAACCGAACTACAAACAGCTACTGTTCATGTTACTGCTAACATAAACAGTTGACTAACATGTGTTGTATATTAAATGTCTCATATGCAGTATTCTTACAATACGGTAAGCTAGAGAAAAGAAAAGGTAATTAAGAAAATCATAAGAGAAAATATATTTGCTATTCATTAACTGGTAGTGAAACCTCATGAAAGTCTTCATTCTTGTCTTCACGTGGAGCAAGCAGAGGAGGAAAAGGAGAGGCTGGTTTTGCTGTTTCAGAGGTGGCAGAGGTGGAAGAGGTAGAGGGGGAAGAGGAGAGGCAGGCACACTCAGGATAATTTCCATTGGAAAAAAAAGTATAAGTGGACCCTCAAAGTTCAAACCCATGTTGTTCAAGAGTCAACTTTATATACAATTAAGAGAGAAAGAAATGTCTCTTATTACATAAGTATTATATTGACAGTCTTTCTATTACTTTTTTGTAATAACTATATCATTATCCTCATTTTAGAAAAGAAGTTAAATAATTAATCCAATGTTAAATAATTATGTTGTTAAGCTGTGACTTCAGATTCTTAGTGAAGGTTAAACATGTGTTCTAAACACCATGCCTCCACTCCTGGTAGCTCTCTCTGGGGTCCAAGACAAACAGGCTTTCTTACCCATGACGTGAGTTCACAAGTTTCACATCATTTTGCTAGAGCACTTTCAGAGATCAAGTATTGCTGTACTTACTGTCAGCTCCCTATAGCCTTTTTAAAAAATTCACTTCAAACCAACAGTTTCTTGGAAGAAAAGAGTCAGAAACTCAGGGAAGCAGGTGAACAGAGAGTAAAAGGACAACAGAAGTTCCAGAGAAATTGAGCAACAGGCCCAGGGTCACACAGGTGGTAAATCACAGAGCACAGATAGGAGCTCCCGCACCACAACAGCATTCATTCTCTTAACCACCATACTGTTTTGTACCTCAAAAATTCGATGTGTAATTTCACTAAGTTTAAATGTCACATGTCTGAATTAGCAAAATGTCGCCAAAAGTAATTGAAACGTATTTCTCGCCTTCATCTTCAATATTTGCTTCTTATTCCCAACTGTTTCTTTCCAACTTACTTTCCTCTAACGTTCCAACAAACACACAAAAACAGTGCAAAATTTGTTTTTTTAAAAAAGTAAAATAAAACAGGGAGAGAGTTTCTCTCCCTGTTGCAGAAGGAAGAGAAAAGTAATTGCCAGGAGAAGTATGTTTAGGTAAGAAAAAGATAAAAATTTGGCGCCTTAGCTCCCGTGTGGGTAGAGCAGCAGCGCAAGAGAGCTTTGTTATACACCGAAGTCCAGGTGAGAGTGCCACAGCTGTCTTGCTAATGCACCTGCAGGATCAGGGAAGATACAGAGACATACTCACAAGCCATGAGCTGCTAAGCAATCGGGAACCCTGCAGAGGAAGCCCTTTCAAATGGGAAGTCAACTGCCAAATGATCAGGAGGTGTGAAAGGAAGAACCAATCACAAAAGAAAAACAGAAGGCAACCTTCCACCTGTACCAACAGGTAGCCCACACATTTCATCCGACTTCAACTGGAATCACACAAAGCTGCCGAGGGAAGGAGAGCAAATATATTTGTTAAAATGTCATTTTCCTTAGCTGCAAAAAATTGGAAATAGAGTTGAACGTATTTCCTCTATCACTCCCTCTTGAAATCGTCTGATTTTCTCATTATAATTTGTTACAGATGCTGCTTTAGATCTCTGCATAGAAATGTGCAATTTCTTTATGTATTTCATGATACCATCTTTTGAAATAAAAAGGAAAATGCTCTATACTCTCTATCTGAAGTGAACCATTTTTTGCCTGTGCAATGCTAACGGCGGGAAGCATGCACAGGAAGAGCATTGGGCATTTTGAAATAAAATGCACCTAGCCTTGAAAACTGTGTTCATCCATTTCACAAGTGCCAGACTGGGCTGATTACTGGGGATTGGCTGGGCAATGCCACCATAACTATTCTTTGTTTTCATGGGAGCTTGGAGACTAGCAGGAAAGACATACTTTAAAGAAGTAATTACAACCCACTGTACAGAGAGCATGCTGACAGGGGCCCATGTGGTAATTCGGGAGCAAGAAACAAACAGCCCACTGGCATGTGGATGCCGTGGGAGGAGAGGCACCCTGAGGAGGGGGCATGCACTCTGAAACTCCTCCATTAACTGCATGGAAGCAGAGCCAGAGTGGCCTCCGCAGAGGGATGATACCTGGGAAACAAGGAGAAATTAAGGCAGGGTTGAAGAGGTTATGAATTTTTTCCCAAGAGAAAGAAGCAGGAAATTTGTGAAGGAATTTAAGCACAAAAATGATTTAAAATTTCTATGGAAAGATTTTGACAGTTATGTGGAGAATATACTAGGATAGATCCTAGGAGACCAGCTAGAAGCGTGGAAGTGCTTCAGATAAGAAGTGAAAATAAATCGGACTGGGAGAGGGACAGTAAGATTGGACAGAAGTGAATCACTTTTAAATTAAGATTTAATAAAAACCATGAATATAAAGAGTCTGCATAGTACTAAGTCAACAAATGTTTCCCTCTTGATAAATAGCAACTTAGATATATTAATACTAATGGCTAATAAATTTTGAGCAAATAGTCTATGCCAGGTATTGTACTAAACAATATTGCATGTTTGGGTTTAACTTCACTATTACATATTATACAAATAAGAAACTCTTCCTTGGGGTGGGTAGCTAAAATGTCCTATTCAACTCAGCTTGTAACGTGGAAAGGAGCTTGAGTAGGATCCACACATCCTTGAGCTTCTATGCCACATCTATTCTCCCCAAACTTTGGGTGCTCCTCCAATTCCTCAGGCAGCTCAGTAAGTTATTCAGAGTGATTCTGAATAACCAAGATAGTATTTTTTGCTTACATTATTTCTATTTAAAATATCATTTCAAATCAATAGTTGATAGAATAAACAATGTCTAAACATACTACCCTATCTGTATTCAAATATTTAAAAACTTTATCAGTTGAAAGAAAAAGATATTGTTCATAATGAGGCTCCAGCTGGTTAAGTCTATGTGTAATAAAAGGAAGTACAGAAAAAGAGTGGAAATTTTCATTTTTTTGGTAACATCTAATTTATCGATGAGTTTTTTTGTTATTTTGTGGTTTTGGTATATCTTTTAAATTTACTTGATCCAAGATCAGAAAGATTTGCTCTATATGCTCTCTTCTAGGAGTTTTATAGTTTCAGCTCCTATATTTAGCTATGTGGTCCATTTCAAGTTCATTTGTGTATGTAGTGTGAGGTAGGGGTACACAGTCATTCTTTTGCATACAATGTTCAGTTCTCCCAACACCACTGGTTGGAAAGATTAACTTTAACCAGTGAATCGTCTTGGTACCCTGGTCAAAAATTAATTGGCCTTCAATATAAGGATTCATTCATGGATTCTCAATTCTATTCATTGATCTTCTATATTTCTATCCTTAGCTAGTATAACACTGTTGCAATTATTGTGTCTTTGTAGTAAGTTTTGATATAGAAAATTACAAGTCACCCAATTTTGTTCTTTTTCTTCAAGAATGTTTTGGCTGTTCAATGTTCCTTGCATTTCTATATACTTTTTAATATCAATTTGTCAATTTCTGCAAAATAGGTAACCAGAATTTTGATAGAGATTTTGTTCAATCTGCACATCAATTTCAGTTCCATGTATTGTCTTTCTATTCATGTGCATGATATGCCATTTTGTTTACTTAGAAGTTTCTTACATTCTTTGAACAATGTTGTTGAGCTTTCAGTATACAAGCCTTATACTTCTTTCATTGAATTTATTTCTAAGTACTTTATTCTTCTAATGCTATTTTAAATGAAGTCATTTTCTTAATTGTATTTTTGTATTATTCATTGCTAGTGTATAGAAATACCATTGATATTTGTATATTGATGTTTCTTGCTACATTGCTGAACTCTTTTATTAGTTCTAATGGTTTTTATGGGATTCCTGAGAATCTTCATTGTACAAGTTCATGTCATATGCAAGGAGAGTTTTACTGCTATTTTTTCAATGTAGATGACTTTATTTATTTTCTTGCTTAATCTCCCTGCCTAGAACTTCCTACACAATGTTGAATTGAAATAGGGAGACTGGAAATCTTGTCTTTTTTAATTGTCTTAAGAAAAAAAATAATCCATCATTATCTACTATGTGTGATGTAAGCTGTGGGTTTTTTGAACATATCCTTTATAAGGTTGAAATGTTTCCTTCTATTTCTAGTTTGCTGAATGTTTACATCATGAATGAGTGGTGAATCATTCCAAATGATTTTTCTTCATGAATTGAGATAATCCTGCGATTTACTTCTTTACTGTAGCAGCATTGCCTAATGTATTTATTGATTTTTTTGTAATTCAAACCAACTTTTCACTCCTGAGGTATATCGTACTTGGTCATGGTATACAATCTTTTATAATTGTATGTTGTTGGATTCAGTTTGAGGACTTTTGTATCTATTGATCCTAAGAGACATTGTTCTGCAGTATTACGTTCTCATGATGGCTGTAGCTGGGTTTTTGTCATAAAGTAATACTGGCATCAGAAAATAAGTTGAAAAGTCCTGTCAACTCTCCTATTATTTGGAAAAATTGAGAAGGAATAGTGTTAATTCTTTATTGTATGTTTGGTAGAATTTACCACAGACCATTTGGAACTTAGATTTGTGTATGTGTAAAATGATTTTATTTACTAATTCCATCTTTTCACTTGTTATGATTTTTTCAGATTTTCTGTTTCTTCTTGAGCCAGTTTCAATAGTTTGGGTCTTTCTGGAAATTTGTTCTTCCTGAGAATATACCTAGCTTTTTGAAAGAGAGCTTTTCATAATATTCCCTTATATATTTTTTAAAATTTCTGTAATGTCTGTAGTGATGTTCCCTTTTCCATTCTTGGTTATGGAAATATGAGTCTTTTTTTCTTGTCAGTATAATTACATTTTGTCCGTTAAAAAAATCCTTCAAAATACCCTTTTGGTTTTGTTAACTTTTTTTTTTTTCCTATTTCCTATTTCATTTAGTCAGCTGTAATCACTATTATTTCCTTCTTTCTGCTTGCTTTTCATTTAGAATGCTCTTGTTTTCTAGTTTCTTAAGGTAACTAGATGAGCGTCTGGGTCCTTCTTTTCCCTGGAACGTACACAAACTTGCACATGCATACAACCTTCTACTTCCCAAATAATATGTGTCAGATGTTCATTAGGTTATTGGCATGAAATCTGTTTTTTTTAATGTAGCTGTTTACAGCTCTACATTTTCATTTAAACACTGCTTTAGCTGCTTAACGTAGGTTTGCATATGTCATGCTTTTGTTTTTATGCACTTTGAAGTATTTCATAATTTATCTGGTGACTTCTATGATCTCTTGCTTATTTAGGAGTCTGTGGTTTATTTTTTACATAGTTGTGGGTTTTGCAAATTTCCTTCTGTAGTTTATGTCTGATTTTGTTTCTCTGTGATCAGCAAACATACTTTGTGTGATACTCATTCCTTTAAATTTATGAAGTCCTGTTTTATGACATATTGTATATTTATTCAGGAGAATGTTTCTTGTGTACTGCAAAAGAATGAAAATTCTGCCTTTCGTGGTAGAGTGTCATGGAAATGTCTCTTAGACAGAACTGGTTTTTAATGTTCAAATCTTCTACATTCTTATTAATTTTCTGCCCAGTTATTTTATTCATTATTGAGTTTTTAAGTCTCTATTATTGTTAAATTTTGTATTGGTTCCTAAAATTCTTTCCATTTTGTTTCATATATTTCGGAGTACCTTTGTTAAGTAAATACTGTTCATAATTGTTATAATTTTCTGATGCATTGATCCTGAAAGATACATGATATCCTTCTTTATCACATCTAAAATTTTTGTCTTAAAATCCGTTTTGCCAAATATTAGGATTAACTGCCAGAGCTATCTTTTGGTTACAAGGTTTATTGTGTTATCACTTCCATCCTTTTATTTTTAACCTATTTCTCTCTTTGAATTTATACTGTATCTTTTATAGACTGTATATAGTTGGATTAAAATTTTACTCTTTTTTCCATTTTCTGCCATTTATTTGCATAATTAATTCATTCACATTTAATATAACTACTGACATGATAGAATTTGTATCTGCCATTGTCCTATTTTTTATTTTTCTTAGTGACTTTGTTGTTGTTGCATTGTTCTTTTACTCCTTGATTACAGAGAATTCTTTTGTACTAAATATATATTTTCTAGTGCTCCTTTTTATTTCCTCATAGTTTCTTTTACTGTATTTCACCCAGGTTTCCAATCAGCATTTTAACTTAACACAGTCTAGTTCTGATTAACATTATATTAATTTCAATGGTTTTCAAAAACTGTTCTTTAATATACCTCTGTTCTCATCCTTTGCTTTTGTGTTCTTTTTGTCATCCAAATTACATATTTATACAATATATCTCCAACAACACTGTAGTATGATTATTACTTTATGCAATTGTCTTTTAAACAGATAGAAGGCTTTGCTGAAAATTGGACTTTTTTAAGACTGTATTGTAACAACTCTTCATATTCCTCCCCAAAATTTGTTTTATTGTTAGGAGTTTTGTTTGCCTTTTGATTTTGTGTTTCTTGTTGATGATTTTGTGTTTATTTACTTTTCTGAAATAATTTTGTAGCTTTTATGTTCCCAAGAGTGTGCCATTAATGTTTCTGGCCAAATGTTTGTTTTTTTTAAGTTGTCCATTTTTATTTTTAAGTCTGGCTTCCTAGGGTTCACCTGGGTTAGTATAATTAAGTAGTCCTCCAAAGATTGATCAGAACATTTTCTTAAACATCTCCACTGTTTGTCTTCTACCTTTGGCCAAGAGGATCTGTGTGGCAAGGTATACCTCAAGCATCAGAAGGATTACAAGACAGACTTTGCTTTCATAACTGCTTGGCCAGAGCCTCACGGTGAGCCAGAGAAGAGTGCCTGAGTCCTTCTCCTCCCTAGGTCTTTCCTCGGCACATACACAAACTTGCACAAACACACAGCCTTCTAGTTCCCAAAGAATGTGCCTCAGATGTTCAAAGCTCTCTATGCTCACATAGTTCTCCAAGAATTAAAAAAAATCCAGCCAAGTTCTGGATTGTCCCAACTGAAATCACAGCCTCATGCAGCTGCAATATGGTGAGCAGCTTGCCCCTGTATTGGTAACACTCTAGGATTAAGATCTTTTTATTCACAGAACTTAGCTCTGAGTCTGATAAAATAACCAGAAAGTACTAACAAATCTGAGTCTCAGCTGATTATGAATGTGAAATAAAGCAAACATCAAACAAATGGCAGACATCTTTTATTACAGCTCTTCTGTATTATGAGACTAATTCACATTCTCATAATTTTTGTTGCTCTCTGTTTGCTCTGCTTTTATGAACTCTATATGTTTATCATATGTTTTATTATCTCTTGCGCTTGTTGCATACGATAGAAGATAATTGCTTTATAAAAAAAACACACAGGCTTGTAATTGATACAAAAATATCTGCTGACCTGGTAAAAGAAAGATAGGCAGAATTAGGACACAGATAGGCAAGCTGTTGCGGTCGTCTCACAGCTGCTTTTTCTTTTTTTTACTGTCAATCTCACCTACTTTTTCATTTTTCAAAACTTTCCTTATACTTTAAAGCATATTTTGATGGCTTTCGATTGTTATCTTTTACGTAATTCTTTCACAACAATTGTCTTTAAAATTTATATTATCACCAAATGCTTAAATGGAAGAAAGCCTTTTACTCCTGAAATGATGGTGAGTAACTTTGATTTTGCATAATTCACCAGCTATTGTGGTTGTAATATTGTAATGAATGTGAGGTTTACTAATGGCCAAACAGCTGAACAGCTTCATCATCTCACTTTCTAAGACTGCATTTTAGATGACTCAGGTTGTGTCACTTAGAGGCTGCTGTACCATGTGCTATTTGGAGGTGAAAGCTTGGGAACAATTAAAAAGCAAAAGAATACCTTTTGGATCCTTTTGTTCTCCCGTTGTCTCCCATTCTAATTCAAAGCATACACATGGTCCTGTAATGAATGTCCTTATTCTAAAATTGCTCTCATTAATTTTCCATCTCTCTGTTTCCCTTTGAATGACTCATTGTACTACAGGAAAATTTTTACTCATGGTGCCTGTCAAAGTCTGCTTACCAACCCTCCTCTCATAACTCAGATGTATGTATTACTTATACAGAAACAAGTAAACTTAGCCTCAATCAAAACTGCTGTCTTCTCAGGACACCATATTAACTTCTGTTCCCACATCTTGGGTGGTGCTTTTCCTCTATCCTGGAAATTAATCTTACCTATCAAAGAAAGAGTACTTAAAGTTCAAGTCAAGCCTCACAGAGGAAGTCTATCATATTTTACCAAACACATCTGCCTCTTTATCTTAAATTTTTTAAAAAATATTTAATTTACCTATTCAGTAGGATTATTATTTCTAATTCTTAATTTGGAATTACCAAGTCATTTGTGAGTTGAAGCTATCTTAGATTTACACCAGTTCATTTTCTAGGTTGGTACTATTTAAAACTGCTCATCACATTAAAAATATAACTCACATATGTTATATTAAATGAAATCATGATGCTCTATAACATTTTTGTTTCTTTAAATACAGTTTTATTTTAGAATAGTTGTTTTAGTTATGGAACTATTGTGAAGAGAAAGCATCCATGTAATCTACACCCATTTTCCCTTACTGGTAGAGTGTATTAGCATGACATATTTCCCGCAATTAATGAACCAGTATCGATACAGCCTCATTAACTGAATTCTGCACATTATTCAGATTTTCTCAGATTTCTACATAATATCTCTTTTCTGTTCCATAATCCCAAGAATATCACATTCCATTTAATTGTCATGGCTCCTAGTCTCTGATTGGCTACAATGGTTTCTCAGTCTTTCCTTGTTTTGAAAGGCAATGATAATTATGAGCAGTTGTGGCTAGATTTTGCAGAATGTAGCTGATATTTTTCTCACAATCAGATTATGTGTGTTTTGTAGGGAGATGGCAGAGATAAGGCACTCCTCCTGTGACACCACCATGAAGTCACTGTTGATGTTGAACTTGATTACCTGGCAGAGGTCCTGTTTGTCAAGCTTTTCCCCTGCAGGGTTATTCATTTTTCCCCCTTTCAATACTGAGCTCTTTGGGAAGAAGCCACTGTCCACAGCCACAGGTAATTATACTTCACCTCCTTGACAGTGGGGTATCAAATAATATGTGGAATTCTTCTGCAAAGAAGATTTGTCTCTTCTCCATTTATTTACTTATTCTTCTTATTTATATGTGTGGATTTATATATATTAATTTTATATTTTGCATTAAAATTCAATCATACTAATGCATATATTTTGTTGTTCAAGTTGTTCAAGCTTTGCCCATTGAGATATTCTTGGTTAACTCTTGTGACCCTTTGACACACCCCATCACTGTGTGTGTGTGTGTATGTGTGTGTGCATGTGTAGCACTTTTCTACTTTCTGATATTACCAGATGCTCTAGACTTGTCTTGTACATTTCCTACCCTGGTCCTAGAATCAGCCATTTTGCCAATAAGTTGTGTTATGCAGAATGGAATTAGAAACCATATTTTAAGACTTAGTGTGCTCATTGCTACTGGGAAATCATTACTTCTAGATTCTCTTGGCAGACAGAGAAAAAGAAGACGTGTGTAAATAGACTTATCTATAAATATTTCTGGATATAATCATTTGTATCTGTAGTAAGATAAACATGCATTTGTAGTAATGTCTCCAAGTCTAATCTGTTTCAACCTGGGTCACTCTAGCTTCCTCTCCTCGCTTATCTGTAATCTCCTCACTCTAATAGTGGGAAAAGTGGCCCCTGTCATCCACCATTCATTTATTTAATTGTTCAATTCCAGTGAACATGTAGAGTGGTTTCAGAATTTGTCAACTTGTTTCCTGTAGGTAAAAACTATCAATTAAAAGATCTTTTTTTTAATGTACAATTCCTTTAGCCTTTAGTCTTGCATCCCACTCATCTCCAAATCATTCAGCTCAACATTTCCATGCGACCTTCCTTAGCAAGATGGTCTCCTTTGTTGATGATGCAGTTATATATTTTTGTCACATTCTGTTTTTTATCCTGAGATCTCTCAACCGCCTAAATATCCATTTAAAAATGCATACTTAAGGTTTTCTCTTTGTGCTCTAAAGATCTGAGTTTTGACAAGTGCATTCTGTCATACCTCTACCGTTGCAGTATCAGAGAGCAGTTTGACCACCCTGAGAGTATCCTGCATGCTTTCCCTGTTCACTCATCATCCCACAGAAACCTGACGTCCAATGACCTTTTTACCATCCTTATGGTATTATTTTCCAAAATGTCCTATCAAGGGGCTCAGAAAGAGATGGTGCTATTTCAGACTAGTGACTTTCACTCAGAAATTTGCATTAAAGAGTATTCATATCTCTGTATAGCTTGACAGTTTATTTTTATTCCTGTGTAGTAGTTCCTCTTACACCACTACTTAATTATCCACTTCACAGTTTGTTTAGTTATTATCCTATTGAAGGACATCTTGTTTGACACTAGTTTTTGATGATTATAAATAATGATGCAACAAGTATTTGCGTGCAGGCTTTTGTGTAGACATACTTCTTCAAATCAGTTGGCTGAAACCTCGGAAGATGATTGGTGTTCATATGTTGCACCAATAGTAAAAGTAAGCTTTGTACAAATTTTCCAAAGTTTTCCAAACTGAATATACCATTTTTTTCCTTCCACCAGAAATTAATGAGAATTTATGTTGCTCCAAATCCTCTCCAGCAATCGTATTGTCAGTCTTTGCAATTTAGGCATTCCAATAGGTGTGTGGTGAACTATTGCTGTTTAATTTGCATTTCCTAAATAACACATTATGTTGAACATCTTTTCATATGCTTATTTGCCACCTCTCTATCTTTCTATCTTTGGTGAGGTGTTCAGATTTTTTGCTCATTTTTATATTAGAATTTTTTTAACTGTTGGGTTTTAAGTCTTTGTACATTTTACATTTTTACATACAAATCTATCACATAAATGTTTTGCAAATATTTCATCCAACTCTAAAGCTTGTCTTATCATTCTCTTAACAATGCCTTCCACAGAGTATAAGTTTTCAATTTTAATAGTGTACATTCAAATTTTTTAATAGGTCACTAATTTGGTATTTTATCTAAAAACTCATTCTCATAGGATATAGGAATATAACATTTTTACATCTGTCCTTTCACCTTATTGAGAGAGATAGAACAGATCCAATTCTTCTTCTACGAACCAGCCTTAAGGTAGAAACAGTAAGACATCGTGGTTCCCGCCTCACTGTTTTATTAGTTTGCTGCAAAAGTTAATCGTGGTTTTTGCCATTACTTTTAATAGCAAAAATCAATCCTTTTTATCCTTATTTTTTTATGTATGAAATGAGTTTCCCGGCTCCCATAGATCCTACTGTTTCCTCCAACCCTCTTAACACTATCTAAAGTCCAGGTTCCATCTCCTAGTGAGAATCCTTTAAAGGAGACTGTGAAACCCAAAAGGAGTGAATGTTGATGGGGGTCGGTCCTGACCCTTCCCAGTGAGGAAGTGACCACCCCTACTGTTAAGATCATGTTAAGATCATTGACTCCTCAATGCTCTCCTGTGTTGTTCTCCAAGAATTTCTCTGAGCTGAGCTGTTTGCCCTGCTTATGCCCCCACCACAAAGGCAGCTGTATCCAATGGGTACCTTGTCCTGTGGTCTTGGGACAACTCGAGAGGTCCATGCCAGCCGACTTCATCACATTCAACTTGTTCTTTCACTTGGATCTGCTTTCCTCCCTCCTTTTCAGGTTTGTTCCTTAGAATACTCCCTGGCACATGTCCTCCAAGTAAATCACTGCTTCAGAGTCTGCTTCTTTTTTTTTTTTTTTTGAGATAGAGTCTCGCTCTGTCGCCCAGGCTGGAGTACAGTGGCATGATCTTGCCTCACAGCAACTTCCGCCTCCCAGGTTCCAGTGATTCTCATGCCTCGGCCTCCCGTGTAGCTGGGATTACAGGCACCTGCCCCCACGCCCAACTAGGTTTTTGTATTTTTAGTAGACACGGGTTTTCATCATGTTGTCCAGGCAGGTCTTGAACTCCTGACCTCAAGTGATCTGGCCGCCTCGGCCTCCCAGAGTGCTGGGATTACGGGCATGAGCCACCATGCCCAGCCCAGAGTCTATTTCTTATGACGCATCCACACGACCATGAAAAGCACAAAAATACACCGAAGAGTGAACTGCCATCATGAACTGCTCCTGGCTGCACATACAATGTGCTTGTCACAAACACTACAGTTCTGCTCTCAATAAACTCACATTCTACTGAGAAGACTGCATAACCACACAAAAATGAGTACAGTTAGAATAAGAACAGAAAACCATGCAACATAGGGAGAAATTACGATATAGTGGCTTAAAAGCAGACATTTTGGCCATTTAAGTTAATTCAACTTACTCTTATTTTAATTAGATTTAAACACATGTTGAAGTTTGTGCTTTAGTACAGAGATCAGTCATTGTCAGAACTCTCAAAGTTCTTAAATTACGTATATATAGATTTTATCTGATGAGAACAAAGTAATGCACTAGTAGGTAACACCATGGCTTTCTCAAATCTCGTCAATCTCACTTTTTTTTCCATCAAAGGTTGAGTTATCAAATTCTGTGGGGATGCTGAGCTGTTCACACATAGATAACCAGGCAGCATTCACCTTGAGTCCACCGGCCCCTACCCTGGGGCCTCTATCATGACCCTGAGGAGTGGTTCACCTGTGGGGATTATTTTATATTTAGACCTGAAATTCTGGCTCAGCCAAGGAGCTTTGACCAATGGGGGATGGGAGGCATTGGATAAATAGTTTACCCTTCTTTCATGCATGCACCATCCTGAGGCACCTGCCAGGTCATCTATGGAAGTGAGCACGTAGTCACACATAGCCCCTTAGGGGAGCATCCCTGTCCTAGCCCTCCCTCATTACCTGAGTCTCCTTCCTAGCCTGTTCCCCTTGCTCCCTGGATCTCATTCTTGAATGTGTTATTTGCACTGAGCTAGTGTCTTAGGTTTACGTTCGTCATGGGGAACTCGACTAAGCAACGTGTTACAAATTACAGGAATCAAGGAAGCTTCCTGAAAAGTCTTGGTCAAAAGGATATTTCACACATGGAGAGATGCATACATAATGCAACTTCCACTCACCTCTTCATCCCTGGCTCCCTCACTGCCCCTGGGACTCTGTTATTCTGTTGGTGAAATAAAAAAAAGAAAAGGAAAAAATCTTGCTTGTTTTTTACCTTTTGTTTTGGTTTTGCTTTTTACCATCGAAGACCTGTTTTGTAAGGAGCATCAACCCCACATAATTCGTCTGTTGTAATCATATATTTATCACAGCAATGCTGCCTTTCCTCTTGATAACTTGTTTGTATTTCCTCTTTTTCCCCTCCTGCTGCTATTTTATTTTCTATAAAAGCAAGAGTGTTAGTGTTTTTATTTTTTTGAATTTGTTTTTTTCTTATGAGGTTCTGTTTTTATTTTCTTTTCTCTGCTGGAGCAAGTAGATCATCTCTGTTCTGCTGGACTAATTCCAAGCTGCCATTCTCTCTACCTCCAGCAGGTACCTCCTGCCAAGCCAAGAGCTGAGAAATCAAATTTTCTCAGCCATTGATTAGACCCAATTAACTATGGAGATCAGTATCAGTTATGAAGATGGCTGAAATGAATGGAATAGGTTAGTTGTGGACCAGTCTTCCAGCACATATAGACACAGATGAAATTGAAATAAAGTTTGATATTATTTGAGCTGGTTAAATGCTCTGAATGAGCAAAAGAAGTGTAAAGAGTTTCTATCCTTTTCTTGTCATAATACTATCATTTTATAACTATAGAATTCACACATGAGAGATTCAGAATTAAATGTTCTTATATGTGATGATTGGGTTAAAAGGAAATCATTACATACAAGAAATATCATGTTCAAATAAAAATTACAATTCAGAAAAATCTTTGGAAAGACACTTGTATTAAGGGCTACCATTCATTGGGGAATATCCACGTTACAGGCAATGAATACATGGCAAGAGATATGGAGATGAGACATATGGATAGAAATATAGATGTAGATATAGATATGTCCTCATTTATATCTATTTTGCAAAACTTTTTCTTACCTAACATGTTCAAATACAGAATATGATTATTGTCCATTTTGCCATTGAGGAAATTGAAAAGACATAAGGAAGAGGAGTTGAGTAACACATTGAAATTCCTTGGCTTAACTCACAGCAGAACACACTGAAATTCCTCGGCTTAATTCACAGCAGACTCACATGTGAACCCAGGCTTATGACCTCAGCACCAATTCACTGTAGCTTTCCAACTTTTAAGTAATATTATCCACTTCTTCAGTGACTAATGTTAACTGTTTTACGTGCTTTAATTCTATGAAGAAGGATATTCCAAGGTAAACATTATCTCACCATTTGACACATAAGGTACCTGAAGCTCTAAGATGCTAAGTCACTATCATGATCCTTCAGATGATGGATAAAGGAGGTGGCCCCTGCACCAGGCATGTCTCGCGTTGCAGCCTGGAGTCTAAACTGTTCCACTCTGCTGCTGCTGTGCAATGCAGTACCAGTGTGCCCTCAGCCTCAGCCTCCCTCCGTCTTGCCCTGGGAAGGCCGCATGTTGCTTCAGAGCCACCTGCATCTGCCCTTGTTATCCCCAAAGCTGGATGCTGAGCATTCTAGCCTTTCATCTGTCCAACATCAGTGAATTTTGTGTATGATCTTTCTGTGTTGTTCTTAGAGCAGATAAGTGCACGTGTTCCCTGGTGACAGGAGGCAGCACTAAGTCTCTTTTCGAAGAGACATTTCTCCTAGGAGTCGAGCTGACAATCCCAAGAACTATGCTAAGTAACAATACATCTGTGTGTGTGGTGGCCAAAGTGACTCCAAAGAAGGAGCTGTGTGTGTCACTGTCACAGTCGTGTTGAAAGCATATTGAGACAGCTGTGTTCAGATGAGAGGGTTTTCAGGTGTGGCTGCCATGGCCAATGGCCTTTGTTCTCTACATATTTAGAAAGTGATGCCCTGAGTTAGAGTTGATGGGAGAACATTACACTTGATTTGCAAATGAACTAGACAACTTTGAGAAGCAGGTTGAGGCAGAAGGAAGAGATGATTCTTGAAATACAGGAGACTGATTATTAAGGCCAGATCCAGCTGTATGTCACGTGGAGAGATAAGCATTCTTTTCATGTTCCTCTGTTAATCTTTCTCAGACAAAGCACAGTCACTGCTGCCCCTGAAGCCACACTCTCTCTTGGGCACATTTCCTTCAATCCTGGGGGTACCAAGGTGTTAATAAATTATTATGTTTGATATTTATCCCTCCTACATGGCAGGTTTGTATTTGAACTAGGAGCTTCCAGAAAACAGAAAGCAACTTGCTCAACAAATAAGAAGTGGATGTCTCCTATGAACTGAGCCCTCTCCTGATGCTGGGGAGGAGCTGTTGAGTGGCCCAAGCAGAACAGTCCCTAATAGTAAGGAGTTGATATTCTGCTGTAAACACTAAGCATTGAGGGTAAAGAAACCTCCTCAAGCAGGGAGGTAAAGATAATTTTATAAGTACAAGAGCCTCAAATCATTCCTTGAAACTGTTTGCCTTTCATGCCCATGTAGACCTGGCCATAAGATTTATTTAAATACATTAATAATCAGACTCTAATAACTCAGGATCAGGAACATTGATGTGCTTTTTAAAAAAATTGGTCGCCATTCACAATACAGTGGCTTCTGAGGGCAGACACACCTGGGTGGTGTCTCCTGTAGTGCTGAATGAGCTCCTTCCAGAACCTGTCATAAAAATTTCGGGATTAAAGCATCCCATTCCATCAGAAAGTCTCCCTCTAAATTACCACAGACTTGCATTTTACTCAATAAAACCTCTCCCCAATTCTGCCCACGTAGCTGGAAAGGCAGACGATGGCTGTGCTATATCATTATGTTCCTCCGGCTTCTGCCAACTCAAACGATTACAGGCAATTCTAAAACTTTCTGTCCTATTGTTCTGATAGGTCTGGAAATAAATTTAGAAATTCATTATGAGCATCAGTGCTCACATTCACATCTTTTTAACTGAGAAAACAAAGCACCCTCTCCTCCCGCTTTATAAAGAGAATTTGGGATTTGGAAAATGCTGAAAAATTAATATGTTATTCCTAATTCCATATGCATATCCACACTTGTAAAACAACTGCATCCTTTTAATGTCAGACCATAAATTGCTTGGGATGTTATTTGATCTGCCTTCCATTTGTCAGCCAAGAAAATCATCTCATAAGATATGGGAAACTGTCCAATCTAAACACATGTTTTACTTATACTTATACAGACCTGCCCCTTTTCAGAATCAATTCAAAGTGCCTTAAAACCAAAGGTTTGTATTTTGGAGCAATTATACATAAGCCAACTATAAACTGGATGTACTTGGTATGATAAGGCTTTAAATTTGTCTCTGGGTTTCTCACAAATGAAGCAAAAAGAAAACCACTGTCACCTTACAGAAAAAGAAGGCACCCTTCCTTTTAGGAAGTAAACAAAGTTTTTTTCTAGCCTCAGACGTAAAACCAAATCTATTTCACCATCAAGACTTAGTATAGTAAACATCATTTTCGTAGTAGGCACATTTATAAACATTTTTCTCTTTCTTAGAAACATTAAAAAAAAAGTAAAACACTTTTTAAAATAATCTGTTAGTTAAAATATCTAATAATCCGTTAGTTAGATATTTACTAATTCAAATTCACTAAGTTAAGTTAGCAAGGTTCTCAGTAAGAACTTTGTTGTATTTATTCAGAATTTGTGCTAAATGAATAAATTGTAGCTGCTTTGCCACATGGACCACACAAAGGGTAAATAAGTGAGATGATGAATATGTTAATTTGCTTCACAATAGTAACCACTTTAATATCTTTATGTTCCTCATAACATCACATTTTATACCTTAAATTATGCAAAATAAAATTTATTTAAAAATAAAGAAATCAGAATGAAACAAAACCACAAAATACATAAGATGTGCATATTCCTTTCTATAGACAATTAGTTTTGGAATGAAGAATGTGATTAATAATATTTTTAATCAAAAATGAGTCTTCTACTATGATCCACTGAGACAAGCATTGTATCATAATTTTATCAATAGATTTGATATTAAGAATAGGATAGCACAGAATATTTAATTATCAAGACCACTTTAGATACATCAAAACAGTAAAATCTGGCTAGCTAAATTCAGTGAATTTGAATTAGTAAATGTCTATGTAACAGGTTCTTTTAAAAAAAGTTTTGCTTCTTTAATATTTTCAAGAAAGAGAAAGAATATTTAAAAATGTATCTACTAAATAAATGATCATTACTATACTAAGTATTGATGGTACAAATTTGAATCAAATATGGAAACTTATTTCCTGGGCCTTCTAGAGTAGAAGAGAAGATGAGTGAAATACAATGAATGAAATAAAAATGACAAAGGATAAAAGTGACATCAGAGAAAGATAGAACCAGAGAACTTCATAGAACACTGTTAAAGTATTAAACATTAAAAAAGGAAAGAAGTAGTAGTGAACATCAAAGATACTGATTCAATCACAGTATCATTATTAAGGAAGCCAGGAGCAAAAACCATTCTGAGATACAAGAAAGTGTATTTAAATTGTACCCATTTGAGTTGTGTCCTGTATGTATATATGCATACATGTGTTTGCATTTGTGTTATTTTCACTGCTTCTTTGGGTCATAAGTTATTTTCTAACTGATTCTGCTTGATTTGTTTGGTAAAGCTTTCACTTTATGCCAGCAAGAGGTTCAAATATGTCCAAATCTCTCAAAGATTTTTCAAATCTCTTCCAGGGTGGTTATGAGGGCTCAGGGTCTGCACATGTTAGATTATTCAGGTGAGGGGTGTGTGTGTGTGTATGTGTGTGTGTGTGTGTGTGTGTGTGAGAGAGAGAGAGAGGTGGGACTGAATACAGAAAGAGACAGAACCCATTATTCTATATATACTGTTGCCACAAGCAAAAAACCATCACATCTCATTTCCCCTGTGATTATAGTTTTTATATTATAACTATAAAGAAGAATTATCTAGTTGCTCTAGCCACTATACCTACTTCTTCACCCACCATTTCCTTTGACCTCACCTTAATCAGATTTTTGAACTCATAATTCTATGAATCCACTGTGTTTGGAGTCATCAATAGTTTTTATCCTTCTGTATTAGTCCGCTCTCATGCTATTAATAAAGACATACCCTAGACTGGATAATTTCTAAAGGAAAGCTGTTTAATGGACTCATAGTGCCACATGGCTAGGGAAGCCTCACAATCATGGTGGAAGACCAAGGAAGAGCAAAGTCACCTCTTACAGGGTGGCAGGCAAGAGAGCTTGTGCAAGGGAACTCCCGTTTATAAAACCATCAAACCTCGTGACACTCACCATCACGAGAACAGCATGGGAAAAACCCGCTCCCGTGATTCAATGACCTCCCATCAGGTCCCTCTCACGACACATGGGGATTATTACAATTCAAGGTGAGATTTGGGTGGGGACACAGCCGAACCATATCACCTTCCAAAGAGAACGATCCGCCTTTGGTCTTCATGTTATTTGGCCTCTCCACTGCTCAGCGTGTCATACCTGCTCTTCCCTCACCTGGCTGCCAGGGTGTGCATCTCCACTGAGCTGAGTGTTTCAGACCTGCTCTTCGCTCACCTGGCTGCCAGGGTATGGCACAACCCAGTGTTTTCCTACACCAATGACTTCCCCCTCCCACCTGCTTTGCTGGTTCCCCTGTAAATATTATTGTATCCCAGGGTTTATTTCTGGGCCCTCTTTGCATCATCCGTATCTTCCTATACCACCTCAGGCAGATCCATGACTTCATGCAGCAATTCAACAAGACAACTAGCAAATATATTTTTGTAGCTTCACTCTTTCCCCTGAGTCTACTGTATGGGTGATCGGGAGTGTTATCGAGTGGTCTGGAAAGGGGAGATGAAAAGTCAAACTTGATCCACTTCTGACCTGGATCATACAGCCAGAAGGAGTGCCCTCGGGGGGACGTGGTATCGTTTTCTACTTCATAACTGAGTAATGAGGTCAAAATAAGTAATTTTCCACCCACTGAAAGTCCATCATTGTAGCTGACCTTTCAACCTTTGCTGCTAAACCCAGCACCCCGTGATGTTGAATGTTCTTTATTCCCAAAGTGACTTCACTGAGTGTCCGGCTTCGGTTTTTTTGTTTCCTTGTTTTCACATAGCTAACAACGTGTCATGTTCTTAATTCCTGGAGTGACCGAAGCTTGGGGGTTTTGCTTGTTTGATTTTACACAGTCCATGATCTTATTAAACCATTCATCAAAACACAGAAACCCAGATCCAGGCCCAGCATTCTGGACCCTACGTCCCTTAAGCTCATTGAGAGTTTCATTTACTGTATCAAAATCAGCATGGACCATTGAGAAAGCTTCCTGTACTTTGGGATCTGTGTGGATTATGTTTAAAAATATTTGTAAAAGATACAGCCCCTGCTGCCCAGACACTCGATATGAGTGCTGTGGGAATAGAGTTTGAACTCCACCATCAACTCTGTAACTGTGAGTAGAAAAGGGGCCAAGCCATGACATTGTAGATTTGGGAACCCAGGAGCCCTGTGTGGGTAGAGCAAAGGCATCTGGTCGAGTTAGGGTACAGGAAGACGCAGAAAGAGGTTTTTGGAGACATTGGGCCAGACTCTTCTGTAGCAACTGAGGCTCCAACTAATACTCCAGCAGGGTTAGAGTTAGGGTTAAACAGAACTAGGCAGATGGTTCATGAGGGTGGAAAGCAGTGGAGATTGGGGTGGGAGGATCAGTCTGTGGGGGAGCAGCCTGTGGGTGTTGGAGGGTCACTGACTTCCCAAGGGGTCAGGAAGAAGAAGGGCAGTGGCCCAGTAAGAAAGGAATGGGTCCTGGATTAGACCCAGACTCCTGTCTCCACACTGGAACTCTCTGCACTCAGGCAAGAGAATTAATTACCTGAGCTTTTTTTTTCTTCTTTTTTTTTTAATTTATACTATGACACTTTTATTTCCTAATTTGCTGGCTTGCTGTAAGTTTCCCAGCATTAGTAAGGAACATTCCTGGAGCACCAGAGACTCACAAGATCTGCCTCTTCGTGGCTTCACGTGGCGCTCAGGCCTGTCTTCTTTCCTGGCTCTCCCTGCTGGCCCTGCTGCCTGCGTGTTCCCTTCCCACAAACCCCATGCCCTTCTCATTGTTCTGTTCTGTTCTGTTCTCCTTCTCGTTTGTCCTTTTCCTAGTGTCGTTTTTCTTTCAGTTCATCACCCTCTCTCTTCCCTGGACCATCAGTCACCATAAAGGCATGGCCTCAAGTGACCAAATGAAAGCTGATTGTTATGTTGTTATTTTTAACCTGAAAGAAACCAAAAGAAGGAAGAAGGCAAAACCTGTGTTCTATGTCAGGAAGTCAGCCGGGCAATTCTCAGATGTCTCATTTAAGACCTCATTTAATGAAAACACATCTCAAGGGTAGTTTTGAATATGTCAGTGTTCGGGGTTTTAGGAACTTGAGGAAGGCCAGGTGGCTCACAGATGGAGAGCACTCCAGTTCTGCAGGCCGTAAGGTTTTTCCCCTGTGGGCCGATGGACAGAAGATGAGGGGGGCTGGTCCTGGATTGAGGTCTGTGCTTCACTGTGTTTTTCTCAGTGCGAAGTTGGAACACAAGAGCATGAGTGAAACTTATAATCGTGAACGATATAATTTACTGCGCAGGCACCGCCCAAGTTATGACTGGGAATTACGAAGCTCAGTCAGGAGGAACAGATTCTATCTTCTCTGACTCATTGTTTCATCTGGGACGGAGGCTGATAAGAAAATAGGTCCCGTCGTTTTTTTTGCAGGACATGGTACTCTCGGTTTTGAAATAGGGAGAGAACTTAATTTCATTGCCAGTTTTGCATTTTACCTGCCTATTCATTGCGATGCTCATTTAGAAACCTACTGTTTCCTTGGCAACTGCTCTTTTCTTTTCCTTCCATTGTGTCTTATTAGTTAACACACTGTTAAAACTGTGTTAAAGGAAAATTATAATTTATAACAATTTATCTTGTTTAGCAATAACCTGACCATTGTGGTCATTCTCTCCACAGTTAACATACAGCCACATGGCAGAGATAAATGATAAACCACGCTGACGATAATCTTAGGAGGTAAGTGGTCGGCAGAGTGAAAAATCACTGCACGGGAATCTAGCAAGATTTTTTCCAGACGTCTCTGGGGGTGTTGAAAAGGCCATGAGGTGTCCAGGCTCCTGGTACACCATGAAGTAATTTCCAGGGCTTGCTTGGCCATGGGTGAGACAAAGCCAGAAGGAGAGAGAGAATTATGGGCCTCTGGGCTATTCAGACTCAACATCTTGGAAACCTGAGGCCCAGGGCCCAGCAGGCCTCTCACTGAATATGACCTGGAACTATTTGGCTGTCCCCAATTCATTATCCAATGTCTGTCTCTCCAGATGGCATGCCCTCTGCACCTGCTCCCAGTGGCCTCAGGGGTGCAGGGCAGAGGGTTCACTCAGCTCTGCATCTTCAGCTCACACCAGGACGCCTTCCCTAGTGAATAACACACAAATACCAGGGATGCCTTCCAAGGGGCTGGCAGGTGGCTGCCTTTGTGTTCCATGTTTACTGGGTCTGACTGTCAGCCTGTGGCCCCGGCTGGCTTTTGAAGCACTGTTTGTGGCACCCAGCCGTCCATAACACAGCTAAGATCTGCCTGCTCACATCACATTGCACATGGGCGTTTGCTGTGATGAGAAGTCATTGCATGTTTCCAAGCAGCCATTCTCACATCACATTGCACATGGGCGTTTGCTGTGATGAGAAGTCATTGCATGTTTCCAAGCAGCCATTCTCAATTTCAGGTGGCATTCGTTCCTGATGTATTGGTAGGGAACAAAGAAGGAAGTGTTAAAAGAAAAACTTCAGCCAAACTAAATTTAAAGGGGTTTAATTGAGCAATGAACGGTTCCTGAATTGGACAGCCCAATTGGACCCCTGAATTGGACAGCAGATTCAGAGAGATTCCAGGAGCCTGAATTTAAATTAAGTTCTAAAATGAGACTTAGGTTGACTATTATGAGCAGTTTGATGGTATTCCCACAAAAATTCATTAGTACTTGTTTACAAGTAGATTTCTTTTAATTTTTTATTTTGAAATAATTATAGATTCAATTTCACAGAATATTGCAAAGAAAATGCACAGGGAGATCCCGTGTCTTTTTTTTTTTTTTTTTTTTTTTTTTTTTTTTTGAGATGGAGTTTTGCTCTTTTGCCCAAGCTGGAGTGCAATCTCCTGATCTTGGCTCACTGCAACCTCCGCCTTCTGGTTTCAAGCAATTATCCTGCCTCAGCCTCCTAAGTAGCTGGGATTACAGGCACCCTCTGCCATGCCTGGTTAATTTTTGTATTTTTAGTAGACACGGGGTTTCACCATGTTGGCCAGGCTGCTCTCGAAATCCTGATCTCATGATTCACCCGCCTTGGCCTCCAAAAGTACTAGGATTACAGGCATGAGCCACTGCACCTGGCCAATTCCGTGTCTTTTTGACTCAATTTTCCCCAACAGACAATGGTGATATTATACATAACTATAATACAGCCTCAGAACCAGAAACTTGACATGGATAGAATCCTTGGCGCTTACTCAGATTGTATTAGTTTTATACACACTGGTTTGGTGTGTGTGTAGATTTATGCAGTGCTACTCCACGAGCAGATTCATGCCACCACCTCCACAATCAGTACACAGAACGGCTCCATCACCAGGAGGTTCCCGTTGTGGTCACACCCCCTCCACCCCATTGCTAACCCAGACATCCACTAATCTGTCTGCATCTCCACAATTTTCTAGTTTCAAACATTATATAAATGGAAACATAGGATATGCAACATTTGGAGATCAGCTTTCTTTGTTCAGCATAACTTCCTTGAGATCCTCCCAAGATGTTTGTACCACAGTTGGTTTTAACCCTCCGTCCCCTGAAGGACATTTCTGGTGTTTTCATTTTCTAGCTCTTATACATAGAGTTGCTATGAACATTCAAGTGCAGGATTTAGTGTGAGAGTGATTTCTGGGTCATATGTTAAGTACGTGTTTAGTTTTAGAAGAAACTGCCAAAATATATTCTGCATACTTCACCATTCCACATTCCTCCCAGCAATACATGAGTGACTCAATGTATCAGTATCTTCTCCAGCATTTAAAATCATCACCATTTTTTAAATTTTAGCCATTATGTCAGGTCTTTAGTGATATCTGATTGTTATTTTAATTTGTGTTTCTCTATTTTTCTGTGTGCTTACTCTCCACCTGTGTATGCTTTTCAGTGAAATGTCTGTTCATATCTTTTGTCCATTTTCTAGTTGGAATGTTTCTGTTTTACCTTTGAGTTCTTAGAGTTCTTCATAAATCTTAGGTCCAAGGTCTTTGTCAGATGGGTATTTTGCAAGTATTTTCCCTAGTCTATAGCTTGACATTTTGTCCTTTGCACAAGATCTTTCTCAGGGAAAAAGCTTTTGATTTTGATGAGGTCCAAATCATCAATCTTCTTTTTTACAGATAATGCTTTTGGTGTCAAGCTTTGCATAGCCTGAGGGCCCAAAGTTTTCTTCTGTGTGTGTGCTTTTCCCTAAAAGTGTTATAGCTGCAGGTGTTACATTTAAATCCATGACTCATTTTGAGTTGATTTTTGTAAAAGGTGCGAAACTTAGCTCAAGATTCTTTTCTTTTATTTTTTATTTTGCCTATTTTTGTCTAATGCTCCAGCACCCATGTGCTGAAAGGTTTTCTTTCATTGAATTTACTTTATGCCTCTGTCGATAATCAATTGGGCATATATCCTTTTATCTGTTCAGTTGGATGTGTGTTTTTGACTTGCATTCATAAATTTCTTCTATAGTTATTTTTCTATCCAAGCCTACCATTCCTTGAGTCCATTTTAGGAATTAATATTTTTCCAGGAAATTGATCATTTCACTTAGCATTTTTAAAATTTACACACAGGAAAATTCAATCTTTGTAGCATATATTCATATGAGTTTAGACAATGTATAAAATTTATGTAAACAGCACAATCAAAATGTAGAAGCTGGGCACAGTGGCTCACAACCTGTAATCCCAGTATTTTAGGAGGCCAAGGCAGGAGGATCATTGGAAGCCAGAAGATCAAGGTCAGCCTAGGAAACATAGCGAGAGATCCTGTCTCTACAGTTTTTTTTTTTTAATTAGCCAGGAGTGGTGGTGAATGCCTGTAGTCCCAGTGACTTGGGAGGCTGAGGCAGGAGGATCACTTGAGCCTATAAGTAAGTTCAAGGCTGCAGTGAGCTATGATGGCACCACTGCATTCCAGCCTAGGCATCAGTGAGTCCCTGTCTCTAAAAAAAACAAAATGAACTATGTAGAAAAGTTCCGTTAATCTCCCCAAAATTTTCCTGGTGCAGCTCCTTTGTAGTGAAGCCTTCCCTCAAGTAGTCTGCTTTTCTTTTTTATAATTCTGCCTTTTCCCTAATGTCACATAAATGGATTGTAAACATACAACTTTTTAGTTTTTCTTTCACTTAGCAAAATGCATTCAAGATCCAACCATGCTGCTTCACAGATCACTAGTTCATTCTTCTATATTGCCAAATAGGATTCCACCGTGTGGATGTGCCACAGTGGATGTGACAGACATTTGGGTTATTTCGAGTATTTGGCCATTATCAATAAAGCTGCTAAAAACATTCATGTACACAGGTTTTTGAGAGCACATAAGTTTCACATCTCTTCAATAACCATCTAACAGTGGGATGACTGTGCCGTATGTTAAGAACATGTTTAAATTTATAGCAAATGAACCCACAGTTTTCCAAAGGTCCTATTCAATTGTCCACTCCAGCAGAATTAAAGAGAGTTCTCGTTCCCCGCGCCCTGGCCAGCACTCAGTCTGTGCTCCACTGTCTGAACACTGTTATTTCATGTGTTTTGCAGGTGTGTTTATGGTAGAAGGTGGCTCTCTACTATTCCATCATGATCAGAAGCAGAAATTTCAGTCTCCTGCTCCTTATCTTATATCATCAAACTCTCTGTTCCCCCTGCTCCCACCATCTGTGGGGGTCCCTGTGTCACTTCCACTTCATCCCATTATGCAAGTGACCCCATTTCACACATTTTTGTACAATCTGTTGGTCTCCATGAAAGAGTGTAGCTCTTGACTTACTATATTTTCATTGATGCTCTTATCTTAATTCTCAACAGGAATTCCTCCTCACTATTCTATTTCTTTTGCATCCCTCAAAAAACTTGTCACCAAATAGTGTTGACTTTTCCATCAGAACTTACCCAGACTGGGACCAGTTCTCACAATTTCCATTGCCCCAACACTCAGGCACATCTCATTCTTCTCCGTCTATGTTTTCATGGCAGCCTTCCTGCTGGTCTCCCACCTCCACAGCTGGCTTCTCACAGGATTCTCAGCACAGGAGCAGAGGAGTCACCCACACCACTGCTCAAACCCTGTGTGGCTTCCCACCTAACTCCCTAAAAGCCAATGCCCTTCCAGTGGCTGAAGGCCCTGCATGTGAGGGGCCAAATGGCCATTCCGGGCTTTGCGTTGTCTCAGGTGACTGTCCTCATTCTTGGCTCTGCCCTGGCCACACTCACAACCTAACATCCCTGTCACTAAACACTCATCTTCCCCTGCTGTCTATTGTTTCCTTTTTCTGAGAAGGCCTTCCCTCAGACATCTCTCCTTCATCCCTCCTGCTGTAGGACAGGTCTCACCTACACAACGAGGCTTCGCTTGGCCACCAGATTGAAAATGACACAGGGGCTTCACTTGGCCACCATATTGAAAATGACACAGAGGCTTCACTTGGCCACCATATTGAAAATGACACAGAGGCTTCACTTGGCCACCATATTGAAAATGACACAGAGTCCTCACTTGGCCACCATATTGAAAATGACACAGAGGCTTCACTTGGCCACCATATTGAACATGACAGAGTCATCACTTGGCCACTATGTTGAAAAAGCCACTGCATCTCTTCTGTTGGTCTCTATCACATTTCTCTGCTTCATTCATTATTCTTCATAGCATGTGATGCTAGCCAATACATTCATTGTGTTTTTTATATAGATATATAAATATATCTACATAAACACATCTATTAGTATTACAATACTGAGCTATTAGTATTAGTTATAATATACTAATATAACTAGTATTGGTAATAGTATTAGTTAAATTATGGTAATATGTAGTAGTACTATAAATACATATTATATAAATATACCTACATATTTATATACATATATTATATCATATAGAATATTAATAGTATATTGTTATTCATAATGCATTCATATATATATTAGTTAAGTATTATAAAATGTAGCATTATATATATTAATTTATATGTATGATATAATACTAAATATAATCTTATATATAATACCATATAATTTAATTATCTAGAAATATGTAGTACTATATTTTTAAATTTTAAATATCATTTAAAATATTTTTCCAATTCAATGAAGTGGTAATTTGTAGAAATAGGTCCTCTCAAATCTCCACTTTGTTCACTCCACTTATTATCAAACTTGTCATTAGATTTCTTATATTTTTTTCCCAAGTTCAACCTGAGAGTAAGCTTATTATTTACATTCTTTCTCTTGGAACTTACCACCTTTAAAAATTTTATTTCTCAACTGTGAGTTGTATCTTCAAGCAGATTGCTGTCTGATTCAGTTTATTAAAAGAACCACAGAAAAATCGCACATTATATTTCCATGGTTTATATCTTATTTCATAAGCTGTTCTCATGTGTCATTATAAAATACTGAACCTATTACTTACATAAGCCAGGAACTATAAATAAACTATGGCGAAAGAGAAGATATTAACTGACAAACCTAAAAGGAAAATCTCATCTTTGATGTGTTCTCCTGAAGAAAAATACAGATATTTAAAATGCTATTAAACACCATAGTACACACTGAGTATGCAGACAAAAAGAATACAAGATTACCAAAAATGAAAAACTGACACACTAAACTTTGTATAATTTGAACATATATGTTAATAGCTCAGAAAGCTTCAAATTTCATAAAATTTAGAGCAAAAAAGTTGAGAAGAAACTATATTATGATAAAAATGATTTTGTAACTATGCTGCATTGAATAGTGTCCCTCAAATATTCACCCAGAATTTGTAAACGTGACCTTATTCAGAAACGGAGTCTTTTCAGATTAATTTAAGTTAAGGCATATTTGTCCTTGGCGTAAGATGAAGCTTAATCTAAGGGCTGGTGTCCTTTAAGAAGATAAAAGGCAATGGCCTGGCATGGTAGCTCATGCCTGCAATACCAGCACTTTGGGAGGCCGAGGCAGGTGGATCACCTGAGGTCAGGAGTTCAAGATCAGCCTGATCAACACGGAGAAACCCCGTCTCTACTAAAAATACAAAATAGCCGGGCGTGGTGGCACATGCGTGTAATCCCAGCTACTCAGGAGGCTGAGGCAGGAGAATCACTTGAACCCCAGAGGCAAATGTTGCCATGAGCCAAGATGGTGCCATTGCACTCCAGCCTGGGCAACAAGAGCAAAACTCCGTCTTAAAAAAAAAAGAAAAAGAAGATAAAAGACAAGCACACAGGAGTGAGGCCATGGAGGATGGAGGCAGAGACGAGAGCAAGACATCTACAAGCCAGAGAACACCAGGATCCTCAGAAACCCCAGAAGCCAGCAGAGACAGGCTGTGATGCTGCCTAGAGCCTTCAGAAGTAGCGTTGTCCAGCAACGTCTTGATTTCGGATTTCTGCCTCCCAGAAAATGAGGAGATAAATTTTTGCTGTTTTAACCCCCCAGTTTGTGCTAATTTGTTAAAGCAGCCACAGGATAATAATACGGTTAGTTATCTTTTCAAGTTACTATATAACTCATTAAGGGAAAATATTAAAAGAAAAAAAAGGAGACACGAATAGGTAAAGGGTTGGTTACTGAAAGACTTCTGGGATCTAAGAGTGGAATTTATGTGAAGATCTCATTCCAGGGCAGGCTTCCAAGTCTTGAGTTCAAGGAGCCTGTGATTGTGTATGCTGGATTTCAGGGACCATGCCCTGGAATTTCAAGCACAAAGGTGTAGAAAAGGGGGTTACATCTCCAGGGAACAGCCTTGGAGCACGTCTGAGAAAACTGGGAAGTGAGTCCAGGTCTCCCAAGTCGACTGTTTTACCTGTAAGTCGCTCCCCCAAACTGTAGAAGTCAAAAATTCCTGAACTTGTGGAACCTGTGAGCTGCACGTTAGTCCATGCTCCTTATTTTACTCTGAGAGGACCGAGCTCCCTGTGCCGCTTCCAGAACACCTGCTTCACCTGCTTTATTCTAAATGGGGAATTTACGCAATTCCACACCCATTGACAATGTGCTCGTCTTCTAAGGGTGAGGTGAAAATGAGTAGTCAAAAGTTAAATGCAAAGCTTGGAACCTCCTAGATAAAAAAATAAAATAAAAATACAAATCCTGGCGTTTGGGAATTTGGAAAAGGTGTGGACTTAGCTATTGATTCAATGACAGTGCGAGGAGGAAGCCAAGTTCACCATCAGTGGTTAAATGGCTCAAATGCAAAGGCTGTGATGAAGGGACTGTGTGGAGGGGTGGGCACGGTTAGGGGGAGAAACAAGGAATGAGTGCCTGGCAAAGGTGAGACGCAGCCACCACTCTCAGGGATGGAAGCCCAGGGCGGGCAGGAGGTTCCTTGCAGCCTATAAGGTAGAACCATAGAAAAGTCACTGCCCAGAGAGAGCTTTGGCCATGTGACCCCAAGACATGGTGTCCAAACAGAGAAGATGCGTGGGGATGCCTCTGCCACCTCAATTCCCAGGCCTGCCTGGCTTCTGTTGGTCCTCCCACTGGCTCAGCCATCATGACTCCAGCCGACCATGAGCCCAGACACACAATCTGTGGGATTCAGCCTCCCTGGCTTCACAACATGATAGAGAAGTAAAGAGAATGAATCCAAAAGAGCAAATCGGAGAAGCTGCTGCTACATGTGCAGTCATTTACTCCAGCAACATCTAAATAAACTCCCAAAGGTCCGTGTTTACCATCAGCCTCCTCCAGAGCCAGGACTGGATCGTCATCCTATTTGTGACCAAGGGGCCCTGCAGCGTTTCTCACAAGCAATAACAGTATATAACAGCATAGTGAACATGAACAGAATGCCAGAGGCTATGCTAAGTGCATTATCTAATACACCTTGTTGTCTTTGTTTTTTTGTTTGTTTGTTTGTTTTTGTTTTTTTTGAGACGGAGTCTCACTCTGTTGCCCAGGCTGGAGTGCAGCGGCGTGGTCTCGGCTTACTGCAGCGTCTGCCTCCTGGGTTCAAGCGATTCTCGTGCCTCAGCCTCCTGAGTAGCTGGGATTACAGTTGCCCACCACCACACCCAGCTAATTTTTTGTATTTTCAGTAGAGACAGGGTTTCACCATGCTGGCCAGGCTGGTCATGAACATCTTTGGTTTTATAAGTAGATACTATAGTATTTATTATATACGAACGTATTCTGAAATATAATATTCAGAAAAAAATTTGCTAGATGCCAGGTGTTTTTGGAAGTCTACACTCTTCAACACAGTAGCCAGGAGCAACACGTGGCGTTTGAGCCCTGAAATGCAGCCAACTCTAAGTTAAAGTGTGCTGAAAGTGCCTAACCCACCCTGGGTTTTAAAGACTATGAAGAAAAGAATGGAAAACAGTTTATTATATTTTATATGGGTTACATTTTTAAATTATGATGTATACATCATGTGAAAATTTTAAAAAATTGATAAAATTCACTTTACCCATTTTTTTTCATGTTTTCATGTGGCTACTAGAAAGCCTGAAGTTAAATCTCTGGCTCACCTTCTTGGCCTGCACCATGTTTCTAGGACAAAGCTGCTGAGTGCTTTCCATGGATGTCAAGAGGCAGAAACTGGACTTGAATTGAGATCTTCTCACTGGAAAACCCACAGCAGAATCACCATGTTATGTTGCCTACGTCGTTAATGAAAGAGTGAATGAGAACGCATTCACCATCCTGAGATCCTGCCCTGTCCAAGGCACTAGAGCAGGCACTTTATCTACAATGCTCAGAGCAATCTTGCAACATAGATATTATTATATCCACTTGGTAGATGAAAAATACAATTTGGATGTAACATACTCTCAGCTGCAAAGCCAGCAGGTAGTTAACCAAACCGCAAACCTAATGCAGACTCCAGAACCCACTATCTTTAGCACAATGTTTTATGACCTTCTTGGTATTAATGTTCTAAAAAACAGGGGCAAATGTTGAAATCTCAGAGATGAAAATGAACGGCGTGTTTCTGAATATACTTAACATGCTACATTCTAGAGATGTTTAATAACTTATTCTATCACGGGGCATGATTAGCACTAGGCAGAATTTCTCATCCATGAATTTGTAGATTAAGAAATATTAATAAGGAAATCTGCATGATAAATAGCATGATGTGAAATACTCAGTTTATCATCAATCATTAAGTATTCACAATGTATGAGAAGCATCCATCATTCAGCCAAAAGAAGCTCCCACAAATACCTGCTCACGAACACAGCAATCCCTAATACTAGATATGCTTAATTCTCTATCACAAGAGACAATAAACAGTCCATGGGAAAGACCAAGGGGACGATCTCACAGCACGATTTTTTCACTGATTACACATCAGAAAGCTGTAAGGGACTATGATTTATGTAGGAAGCATAACAAATAATTAAGTCATTTAAAATCATCATCTATATACAGGAATTAAAAATTACACACAAATTAATATACATGAAGAAAATACTGGAAATAGCCTTCCCTATGATACGATACTATTAGCAGTATAGTATTGAAGTGAATTTTGCTCTCTGTTTCTCAGGATTTCTACTTTCTTTATGTTGTTATCAGTTTATTTTTCTATGAATGCTTTCTGTTTGCCCACAGTCTTTGTGTGCCCAGGATAGAAACGGTATCCACAATAGAAGTCCTTTCCAGAAATACTTTTTCTTTTTTTTAAATAACAAGGGATATTTCTATTAAAGTGTTGTCCAATTAAAATATATATATACTGATTCTTAATTTTAGAACCAAAGAAATCCATTATTTGTGGACAAATTTTAGAGCCTATAAGGTGTTTTAGTACAAATTTCTTTTATGTGTGAGAGAGAGGCACACAGTAATATCACTGTAAATTTAATTTTGATTTTTATGATGACAATGAAAGAAAGCTACTTGGGGAACATAGTTTTGTAATATTGCAAAGGTGGAATAGGAAGGAGGATAAGGTGAAATGGCATCGTTTGAAAACTTAGGGAAAAACCATCTTAAATTCCATACTTGCAACAATAGACATAATATCATAAAATATTTCTGGTAAATCTTAGAACGTTTTTATAGCTCATCACTCAAATGAAGCCAAAAACTTTACGGAAACAGATGTTGAGTTCAGACCAGTTGGTTGCTCAGTGCTAGATTCATGCTGGATCCTAAATGTGTACATTCTAAGCTGGTTTTGTCGATGGGAGGCGGTAAAAACAATGACCATTCTATCTGCCCTGGGTTTTGCAATATCAGAACTTGTGCTTAATCACCTTCCATCCCTCCAGAGATGACATCCTCAGTAGGAAATAGAGTAACAGAAATCATTTCCTCTCTCCTTTTTCCTTCTGTAAAGCATATGGCTAATCTACCCTGTGAAAACTCCAATTTATTTTAGCATTCATGAAACTTCATGACTAATTTCCTGAGCCAAAGTATAATTACTTTAATTCGACTCTGCTGGAGAGAATTTGAAAACAGGACTTCTTTAGAAGAAAATTAACTTACATAATGAGAGAAGAGATAAATCATATTAACTCTAATTAAAGTATATTAACATTTTGGTTGCATATGAATAAAAATCAGACACAATGAAAGCAGGTTTCTCATAAAGAGTCAATTTATGGAGATTTATGAAGATTTTAGAAACTTGCAAAATTTCATTACTTAACATCTCTATTAAGATCTTTACAAGCATGCATAATGAAAAGCCTAATAAAAGATTTAATAAATGGACTTTTGCTTAAAGTCACACTGATTCAGTGCAAGCAAAGGTTTTAAACCCCTCATGGAGATTAAAATGATAATTGTCAATTTAAAAAATACATATGCTTTCCACGTGGTGAGAAGTGGAGAGTTAGAACATCAGAAAGTCAGAAAACTATTCTTAGCCAATGTCAGTAATTCCACGGCTTTGCTTCGTATCCCAAGACTGTGATGATTACCTCCGTCTTCCATATTATGTTATCTAGTACATCATAGATGACATATTACCTACAGGTAACATATTAACTGTAAATAATAGACTACAGATGACATATTAACTGTAGATACCACAATAACTACAGAGTCCTGGAAAAAAATATGAATGTTTTTTTACCGTGAAACCATATTTCAAATGCTCCTGTTTCACCTCAATACAAGATATTTAGCTCTGTCTCTATGTGTAGAACAAAAGTCTAACACAAATAGTAGACTTCCAGGTAAGCTTACTTAAGTTTAACTTGAGAGTGAAAAGAATTAATTTTTCTTCCAAAATGCTGTTTCTCCAAATGTATACAATGAAACTGCTCAATGATTGAATTTTCAGTATTGCTCCTGAGTAGCTCGTAAGGTAGATGCTCTCAAACTACGTCGCAGAAAACCGCTTTGCCCGTGAAGGTGCACAGTGAGCAGCAGGAACTGTGTGTCTAATTCGGAGATGAGATTTGCAGCCACATTAGCCACAGTGCTCTCTGATTTCCAACAAAGCATGCCTGCCTTTTGACGCCGTTCAGAGCCACCACACCCCACTGGCCACCACACTTTCACCCTTCACTGCTGGGGTCCCCATGGCCATAAACACTCTGAGCAAGTCTCCTGTTCTGTCATTCACACCACAAGCTGCTTACAGCTGCCTTTTTTTTTTTTAACAATTGTCAAATAACATGACATTACGTCATCAAGCATTTAAACCTCGATGCCTTATAGAAAACAGTTATGCTCCTGCTGCAAAAAAAAATATGAATTTGTAGATTATCAAATAATATGGATACAGATTTTAATAGAGAAAATTCCAGACTAAAGACTGTGGAAATGTATTCCAGTTTTACCATCTATACATCAGTAATTTGGTATTAAAAACAAAGGTTTGCTCATATCGTATTTAGTTATTCTTTTGCAGAGCTAAACATGACACTGCTGTTAACAGACACACTCTCATTTCTACATTCATCATCTCTCACACTCCTTGAAAATATTTATTGAACTGCATTTTTAAAACAACTCTGAATTGTATTTCTGTACGTACAAAGAGTGAAGAAAGCAGAAAATGAAATTTTCAAAGAACTCAGAGAATAAATGGCAATTTAAAAGCAAAGAGAAGGAGGGCCGGGCACGGTGGCCTGCGCCTGTAATCCCAGCACTTTGGGAGGCTGAGGTGGGTGAATCACCTGAGGTCAGTAGTTCGAGACCAGCCTGGCCAACATGGTGAAACCCCATCTCTACTAAAAGTACAAAAAATTAGCCGGGTGTGGTGGCACGCGCCTGTAATCCCAGCTACTTGGGAGGCTGAGGCACAAGAGTCACTGCAGAGATTGCAGTGAGCCAAGACTGCACTACTGAACTCCAGCCTGGACGACAGGAGTGAGACTCCATCTTAAAAAAAAAAAAAAAAAAAAAAAGAAAAGAAAAAAGCAAAGAGAAGGAAAATATAATTGTAAAAGGAAAACAAGAAAAAATAATGATCAAAGTCTTTCTCATAGTGTGGAGGAAAAAATTCCTAAGCACAATAACACAGTAAACTGATTATAATTCTGGGTTGAATATATATTTTAAATGATATGTTGTAAATACTTAACTGAGATGTTCATAAATGAGAGGGGAAAAGGTAGGAAACCCCAGGGGTAAGAAATGAACAGAGATGAGGTTTCCCCAAGAAGGTTCCCCGTGTGGATACGCTTCCCCAGGATAGGACTGCAGGGATCTGGGGCAGCGCCTTCTCATGGCGCAGGGTCTGCATGTGGACAGAAGCAGGAGACCTGAAGCCCCAGCAGCTGTGCCCTGATGTTTCATGGCTTCCTCTGTCCAGTCGCACGCAGAGTTGAGACCTGAAAACACACAGCCAATGTGCCATGAAGAAAACCTCAAAATATGAACTTGTTTTAAAATGATCCTGGGTTTGCACTTCACACACATAAAGGCAAATACTTGAGAGAAATGTGGTTCAACCAACAATCCCAGTGTTCCCAAAGATAAAGCACAATTGAACAAGGACTTAATATAAACTCTCTCTCGAACACACACACACAGAATCACACACCTACTCACATACACACATGAACTCACACACACTGTCACACACACACAGACTCATCCACTCACACACACACGCACTCACACGCATACTCTCCACTCACCAGCATAGCCATAAGCAAACACACACTTTCATACACATGCACTCACACACTCACACCCACCACACATGCGCACACACAGTCACACATCCACTCACATACACACATGCACTCACACACGGAATCCCACACACACGCACATGCATACACAAACACACACATGTACACACACTCACACACACACGCACTCAGGAAAACAAGGCAGCATAAGCATGAGCTGGAAAACGAAACAACCCAAAAAACAGATGTAGAAAAAGGACATGGGGCCTCTGAGATTCAGACAGTAAACTGCACAAATTATAAAGACAAGATTGAGATGCTTAACTATCAAATTAGAAAATGTCATTTATCAAAGACAAAAAGAAAGGGTGCTGTATCTTGTTTAGGAACCAGTGTTAAGTCTCCTAAGATAAACAACGTTCTTGTATACTATGTTCTAAAAGTTTTAACGTTTGTCATTCATATTTGATAGTTTAAATTACTTGGAATTGATTTTTATGTAAGGTGTATTGAAACCTAATTTTGAATTTTTATACGTATAAGCAAGCTATCTTTGCAATTTGATCATCAGAAGAGTTTTAAAAATAACGCCGTGACAAATTTTTTTTTTATTTTTTTATTACTAACATTTTGTTTGTATTTATTTATTTTAGAGACATACTCCACTGTTGTTGTCCAGACTGGAGTGCAGTAGCACAATCATAGCTCACTGCAGTGTTTTTATTTTTAGTTTTAGTTTTTTTTTTATTATTGTACTTTTAAGTTTTAGGGTACATGTGCACAATGTGCAGGTTTGTTACATATGTATACAGGTGCCATGTTGGTGTGCTGCACCCATTAACTCCTCATTTAGCATTAGGTATATCTCCTAATGCTATCCCTCCCCCGCCACCCCACCCCACAGCAGTCCCCGGAGTGTGATGTTCCCCTTCCTGTGTCCATGTGTTCTCATTGTTCAATTCCCATCTATGAGTGAGAACATGTGGTGTTTGGTTTTTTGTCCTTGTGACAGTTTGCTGAGAATGATGGTTTCCAGTTTCATCCATGTCCCTACAAAGGACATGAACTCTTCATTTTTTATGGCTGCATAGTATTCCATGGTGTATATGTGCCACATTTTCTTAATCTAGTCTATCGTTGTTGGACATTTAGGTTGGTTCCAAGTCTTTGCTATTGTGAATAGTGCCGCAATAAACATATGTGTGCATGTGTCTTTATAGCTGCATGATTTATAATCCTTTAGGTATATGCCCAGTAATGGGATGGCTGGGTCAAATGGTATTTCTAGTTCTGGATCCCTGAGGAATCGCCACACTGACTTCCACAATGGTTGAACTAGTTTACAGTCCCACCAACAGTGTAAAAGTGTTCCTATTTCTCCACATCCTCTCCAGCACCTGTTGTTTCCTGACTTTTTAATGATTGCCATTCTAACTGGTGTGAGATGGTATCTCATTGTGGTTTTGATTTGCATTTCTCTGATGGCCAGTGATGATGAGCATTTTTTCATGTGTTTTTTGGCTGCATGAATGTCTTCTTTTGAGAAGTGTCTGTTCATATCCTTTGCCCACTTTTTCATGGGGTTGTTTGTTTTTTTCTTGTAAATTTGTTTGAGTTCATTGTAGATTCTGGATATTAGCCCTTTGTCAGATGAGTAGGTTGTGAAAATTTTCTCCCATTCTGTAGGTTGTCTGTTCACTCTGATGGTAGTTTCTTTTGCTGTGCAGAAGCTCTTTAGTTTAATTAGATCCCATTTGTCAATTTTGGCTTTTGTTGCCATTGCTTTTGGTGTTTTAGACATGAAGTCCTTGCCCATGCCTATGTCCTGAATGGTATTGCCTAGGTTTTCTTCTAGGGTTTTTATGGTTTTAGATCTAACATGTAAGTCTTTAATCCATCTTGAATTAATTTTTGTATAAGGTGTAAGGAAGGGATCCAGTTTCAGCTTTCTGCATATGGTTAGCCAGTTTTCCCAGCACCATTTATTAAATAGGGAATCCTTTCCCCATTGCTTGTTTTTCTCAGGTTTGTCAGAGATCAGATGGTTGTAGATATGTGGCATTATTTCTGAGGGCTCTGTTCTGTTCCATTGATCTATATCTCTGTTTTGGTACCAGTAGTATGCTGTTTTGGTTACTGTAGCGTTGTAGTATAGTTTGAAGTCAGGTAGCGTGATGCCTCCGGCTTTGTTCTTTTGGCTTAGGATTGACTTGGCGATGCGGGCTCTTTTTTGGTTCCATATGAACTTTAAAGTAGTTTTTTCCAATTCTGTGAAGAAAGTCATTGGTAGTTTGATGGGGATGGCATTGAATCTATAAATTACCTTGGGCAGTATGGCCATTTTCACGATATTGATTCTTCCTACCCATGAGCATGGAATGTTCTTCCATTTGTTTGTATCCTCTTTTATTTCATTGAGCAGTGGTTTGTAGTTCTCCTTGAAGAGGTCCTTTATTTTTAACCTTATTTTCTATGTAGTTAGAATGCTTAAGGATTCCTATATTTGCAGTACCAAGAGGGAAAATGAAAAAGCACCAGACAGATTATAAAAATAATAGAGGAATCCCATAAGGATTAGATTTACCATGAGTGCAAAGTGGACTTTTCTGGGTAGAGAACTTTTCAAAAGATTAAAAAAAGAAAGACCCTGTTTTGTAATCAAGGTCAGGTTTTCTCTGAGATCAGGGAGTCAGTAAGTTCTGTGCAGCAAGAGCTTTTTCTTACTCAAATGTAAAACCATGTCTTATGCAGTGCTCAGAATGTACTAGCTATGCTACAATCATAAGTTGAACAAATGAAGAAATGACCTGGTTGCCATCCCATGTTCTTAAAGGTATTGAAATATCCTCACTGATGATGTTGATCGGCTCTGGATCTAGGTGTGGGTATGGAGATCACTCCATTGGTATTGACAGGGTAGTTTTCCATGGCCTCCTTGCTACAGCATTAGGGACAGCGTTAGGGAAGAGAGTCCCCCGGGTGCACTGTCTGCCCGTGTGCCAGTGGCTCATGTGAAGACAGAGGCAGTGAGATTGAGGACGGCAGAGGCAGCCCATGGACACCCTGACTGGCAGTTGCTTTTATATCTGGCTAATGTTAACTCTTGCTGTTAATAATTCCTGTGTGATACCATGCAGCAGGAAATAGATGTAACCTTAGAAAGACAAACATACCCACGGTGCAATTATTTTCCATAAGTACGTGTGTGTGTGTGTGTGTGTGTGTGTGTGTGTGTGTGTAAACCTCCAAAGAAATTTATCATTAGCTGTCACTTGTTTACTTTCCATGAAAGGTGTTTCTTCCATGAACTAATTTGTCAAAACCATGCCAAGTGTCACAGTGTGTCTCAGGGAGGTCTTAGACCACCCAAGCCAAAAAGGGGGACCAGCAATGTTTATGTTCTTATTCTTGAGGTGAAGATTGGCACATTGAATCAATCAGACAGACAGGACTCTGTCTATTCATATTGATAATATTGTTAATGAAAATATAAATGTTCTTATATGCTATATTTTTCTTTTCATATGAGATTATTACAATAACTGTGGAAACTGAAAATTGTATGTAAGTCAGAAACAAGCATTTCTGCCTCCAGTTTTAATGTGAGAAATACAAACAACTAAAGTGTTAAAGCAGAAACATTTCAATTTTCTCATTGATATATGCTGTGTTTTGTTGCTCACAGATACTAAATAGTTCAAAAAGCTACTGAAAAATTATTATAATTGGTTTCTTGGGTCTCTAAACTATATTCATTGGCTTGTCAACCATTTTCACAGTTGAGTGATTTCAAGAGTGTATCTGCAATTTTGCCTGTTATTTGTTATTTTTGGAATATATGTTCTATTTTTACTTCCTAGAATAAGTAACAGGACATGTATAAGGTCACAATTAAGTATGGAAGTACCCATAGTTAGATCCTGCAATTTATGTTGTGACAAATCTTTCTAATTACAAGCTTGGAAATGCCCACAGAGGTTACATCTACACAAAAAAAAATGCAAAAGTATTTTCTTTGTCAAAATGTTTGTATATTTACTGAGTGCATTTTCAAATGACCCCTGACACTTCCGGTAAAAAATGCTTCTATTTTGAGAGGGTTTTTGCAAAGTACACTTTTCTTTGGTATCATATAAATGACCTTTCTGAAGTAACATTGAGTGAAAAACTTACCCAGTGAATTAAAATTATAAAATTACTACTTTATCAGCAAAGTGCTGGATGAGTAACTTTAATTTTCTGAGTCTTTGGCAAGCATGTGACTGCATTAAAGAAGTCATCAATCTTTTTACCGATGACTCAGTGCAGTTCTGACTTCCATGAGGTCCATCCAGTGCCCTCCAGGAAGGCTGATATTCATTTACCCTTCCCCCACGCCTTCCCCTGGATGCCTTCGCTTACACCCTTTAGCGGGCTTATTTTGTGACAGTGGCCAGGGATGGGAGCTGAAGACGGTGGCTTCCATGTTCTCTTCACAGATCTGTGGGGGCCCCTTTACCAGGTGACTCAGAGGAAGGGCGTCTGCTTTCCTCACATTTCTCTCACCTTAAAGCCAAACAACCCTCATGATACTTCGCAGATACGGAAAAGATAATCCATTTTTTTAGGAATTTTAATGAATTTTGCTGTTGAGGAATTGAATATACCCAAGGAAACTGAGCCAAACTGCAACTCTGACCCAAAGTTCAGCTGACCTGGTCTCCAAACTGAAATCTGAATGAAAGCTTTCCTTCCATTTTATTATACTACCAAGAAAGACAATAATTTCTGGCCTCAAAAACATCAACATAGGGTAGACAAAACCCCACGTATTTTTTAAATACATGGAAACGAAGCAAAGACAGACGTTTTTCTGAACCAAACCCGAGCCCACCCATTTTTTATTACTTTCTTGGATTCAAATCTAGCCAGTTAAACCCCCACCTTGTGAAAAAGGACACAGATGGTGTGTATCCAATTCCCTGCTTCAGTTTTCCTGTGGAGCTTCCTCTAAATGGGGAGTGTGACTGGGATGCCTCTGTATGTCTGTGTTTGTTTTCTATTGCTGTGTAACCAATTACCACCATTGTAGAAGCTTAGGCTACATGCAATATACTTTCCCACAGTTCTGTCCATGATCGAGCTGGGCCCTGTGCTCTTGTCTCCCCTGGCTGCAGTCAAGGTGTCAGCCAGCCTGTTTCTTTCTGGAGCTAGGTGGTCGCATTCACGTTCAGCTGGTTGTCGGCAGAATCACTGCCTTTCATCTGTGGGGCCGAGGCCACTGCCCTCTCGCTGGCTCAGCAACGGTCCCATGTCAGCTCTCAGAGGACACCCAGCTCCATGCCACATGGGCTCCTCCGTGTGACCCCTCTTGTTTCCAATTCCTTTTTCAGGAAGGGTGCAGTCCCATCCAGAGACTCACCGATGAGGTTGGTGAGACCAGGACAATCTCCCTTTTGATGAACTGAGTAGTAGCCTACTCACGACAGTGACATTCCATGATATTCACAACCTCAGGCTGCACACAGCAGAGGGGACTACACAGAACGTGAACCCAGGAGTAGGAAGCCTGGGGGCGTCTGACTGGGATGCCTCTGTCAGGCCTTTGCCCACCTCAGTGTCAGTGTGGGATGTGCTGAGATGCAGCTTTCCTTTTTTTTTTTTTTTGAGATGGAGTTTTGCTCTTGTTGCCCAGGCTGGAGTGCAGTGGCACGATTTGGGTTCACTGCAACCTCCGCCTCCCGAGTTCAAGCAATTCTCCTGTTTCAGCCTCCCTAGTAGCTGGGATTACAGGCGCCCACCACCACGCCCGGCTGATTTTTGTACTTTTAGTAGAGATGGGGTTTCACCATGTTGGCCAGGCTGGTCTCAAACTCCTGACCTCAGGTGATCCACCCACCTTGGCCTCCCAAAGTGCGGAGATTTGAGGTGTAGCCAGTGTGCCCGGCTGCGGCTTTCCTTTTATGTGGTGACCATCTATTGGCTTCTGTACCCGAAAATTCTGGGACTAGGAGATTATTCTTTGGGACTACAGTATTCAAGAACTAGAACTCAACACCAGTCAGACTAATGAATATGTTGGACTCTATTCTTCCCCAAAACATCTAACCTTAGTCTAAAAACATCAGAACACTCCCAGCTGAGGGGACATTCTACAAAACACCTGACCAACCCTCCTCAAAACTGTTAAGGTCATGGAAGACAAAAAAAGTAAAACAAATATATATTGGGTTATATATATTAGACTAGATTATAATATATAATATATATTAGATTTTTTTTTACTTTTCTTGTCTTCCATGACCTTAATAGTTTTAGGAGCATTGGTCAGGTGTTTTGTAGAATGTGTGTGTGTGTGTATATATATATATATATATATATATATATATATATACACACACACACACACACACACACACTGCCACAGCCAAGAGGATGCTAGAGAGCCAAGATGATTAACTATAATGTGGAAGAGAGAGGGAAGATGAAGCTATAACTCAGAAAATCTGACTACCATAGATATTTTGTTAATAATAAATAACAATGTATTCATCTTTGTAGAACACAACACTATTCAGTAATTGTAAGAAATGTGCTATACCAAAGAAGGATACTCACAGTAGAAACAGCTGAATGTGAGATTCACGGAAACTCTCTGTCCTTTCACCTTTTTGGTAAATGTAAGACTGTCCTACATTAGGAAGTGTATTTAGGAAGGCTGTGTTGGAGTTGTGGGCTTAGAGGTGGCAGGTGTGAGAGACCTGGAGAAAGGCTGGAAGCTGACAGGAGAATTGTGCAGGGGTCGGGGGCTGAGAAAACATATCAATTACTTTTTTTTTCTTTTTTTGAGATGGAGTCTTGCTCTGTCGCCAGGCTGGAGTGCAGTGGCACCATCTCGGCTCACTGCAACCTCCGCCTCCTGGGCTCAAGCAGTTCTCCTGCCTAAGCCTCCCAAGTAGCTGGGACTACAGGCGTGCGCCACCACGCCCAGCTATTTTTTTGTGTGTGTGTTTTTAGTAGAGACGGGGTTTCTCCATGTTGGCCAGGCTGGTCTCGATCCCTTGACCTCAGGTGATCCACCCGCCTCGGCCTCCCAATGTGCTAGAATTACGGGCATGAGCCACCACACCCGGCCAGTAAGTTTTTAAAAGTAAGGAATGGATTTGATTTTTTCAATCGTGTTTATTTCATCTTAAATATGTGCATTGAAACAAGTTTTTGAGGATTAGAAAATCCAAGATGGATTTTCATCCATAGAACAGCCCAGGGTGGGAACTCTTTTGGATGCTGAGAATATACTCGCCCCAAAGGGAAGTGGCTCTGAGCCACGAGCACACACCTGGCGTTAATTCCACTCACCGACCCCTTGGTTCCCTGCTGCAGAGAGATGATTTAAGGTTCCTGGAAGGTCACAGAGGTCTGTTCTTTTGCACCCTATCAGCAGACAGCTTGCCTCCTTAAACTATTCGAATAAGTAGAAGATGATGGAAACAGGGAAAGGGGTATATGTTTATCTGAAAGTCATTGGTGTCCCTACTCAAAGTCTTAGTGGCATCAAAGCAGACCTGTGTTTCCTAGAATATCACTCAAAATTGCCAAATCAACCTTTAACAAAATGCCAAAGTTTGTTCCTCTAGATACAGAATGTTGTAGGGTCTCCCTTAGTCAATTAACATTGTTTTATCTGTCAGTTATCACTGATTCTGAGTTGATGAGCACATTCTTGCAGTCTCATTTCTGCTTATCATCGCATACTCTTGTTGAATTATTCTGAACTCACACGCATTTTGAAAGGCAAGACACATTGATTTCCTCATTATGTCAGGAAATGGCGAGTTAAGCAAATTTCTAAACGCTTTCAAACACCAAGGTCTGTTCAGAAGTGATAAGACAAGACACTGCGTGGAAGGTGGTGAGTTTTTGTATAGAAACAGTCCTCAGCGGAAGCATTTTTGTCCTGGAAATGTGTCCTCTCTCCATAACATAGTAGGAGGGACTGGATGAGGAGACAATTTAAGGGCTAATTTGCTTCTAACATTTCTTAGCATTTTCACACTGTGAAAGATGTGGGGAGAGGGCTTCCTGCTTCATTGTTTTACAATTGTTTTCTCCGCACAATTTTTCTAACCTCCTTATAAAGATTACTGCAATACGAAACAAATTAGGCCCATTAACCACAGATGCATGATGACAAAAGCAAAAGTCACATCAGGATTTTTAATCCACTATTAAATATATAAGGTGCTGAAAATGTAAAAACTAGTCATTGCTTAAAACCTGAAGAATAGGAGATTGCCAAGGAAGAAAAGATGATAGTTTGACTCGAAAGGTTTCCACAGGCCACTGCCAGACATTAAATCACACAAGGGCACTTTACCGAACAGGAATGACAGAAGTTGGTAAGAAAAAAAATAAGGAGAATAATAACAGTATCTTGGAAAAGTATAAATTAAAAGGGCAGCCACCGGCTATCTGAAAGGTCAGAGGAATAAAAGAGGGTCTTCTGAGAATCACTGGTTTCAGAGCGGTAAGTGGAATTCTCCACAGCACAGGAAGTGGAAGGATTTTCATTCACGTTTGAAGGTTCTTTTGACATTTTCATTAACTGCAAAAAACACAAATAACCTAATCTATACTGATTTGATTAATAAGTAGGAGAACACAGTACATTAAATGTTCATTTAGATGTTACAATTAAGCAGTACACAAAACATTGATTTTATTGCATCCTGGTGCTTTAAAAAAAATTCTGTAAGTTTGTAAATGAGCAGGGACCATGGTCACTCACTTATATTTCTCCTGAGTCAGAAAATAGTGAAAACACCGATAAAGGAAGGCAGTGAGTTCCTAAAGAATTTTACAAGGTTTTAATTCAATTTAACTTAATAACTCTGACTTAATGATAGAGTCAATATTCTCCTACCTAAATACAAGAGCTTGGACTCGATGACTTCACAGTAGTGTTTGTTCTGTTGTTTCAACCTAAGCCTGTGATACCAGGTCCAGGACCATCATTTCGCCCTCTATTTTCTAATTAATGTAGTGCAACAATCAAGAAGTACAGGAAAGATAAACAACCTGAGAAATTCCACTCACTGTCATTGGTACTGAAATCCACATTGCAAGGGTAGAGAGAGATTTGTGCAAGGTGCAGGGATGAGTAGCAATGGCAGCATTATACTTGTTTATGGGAAGGACGGGGGGCAATGGAAAAGCAAGCCAATAAATCTAACATGTATTCAAGCATCTGGCTAAGGACCAGTCCAGGGCAAAAGAAAGAGAGATGGGCAGAGCACGTGACACTCGCATAGTCTCTTCACACATCTTATCAGATTGTGACTCAATTGCTGTAGTAATCCCTCATCCACAGTTGACGAAAAAGATGAACAGAGGGTTAAACGCATTAACCAAGCTTGCATAGTCAGTAACCTTACAGCTAAGACTCAAACCCAGGTTTTCTGACTCTGAATTCAAAAACTCACAGACCAATGCCAGGGTCAACCAGATCTACATGTGATTTTAATGGGTTATTTTTAGGACATCATAAGGAATTCGGTAAGAAATTTTATTCTGAGATTTGGAAAATCAAGCCCTACCACAGTTTAAACACAATGGTCACAATTTAAATATATTTTAAAATTCATGTGTTCCAGTTTAGGGCTTTGTTTTCAATCATTTTTTCTTAATTTTTGATTTAAAACAACCTGTCTAAAGTTAATGGAACTCCTTATTCTGTGCCTTAAATAAGATGGGAGTTCCCTGAGAAAAGAAATGGAAGTTCTTAGCCCGGCAGCTCCGTTCAATACCGTGGAAGTCACGTGGATTCCAACACCCGCGGTCTTTCCCTTGGCTTTCAGGTGTATTTCTCCTCTAAGGATAGATTAGAACAAAAGTCATAGGAAAGGAAATTTAAATTTTTCTGCAGACTGAGCTAAGCCAAAAAAATGTGTGACATGCTCTTGTACATTTTTCCCTTCTCTAAGGTAACTTGTAAAGGACCCTATTTTGTCAGATCACCTATATGTATTTCAACATTCCGTGATATTGCCTTGTCCTTCTTCATAAGCTTATAGGAATCCTTGAAAGTGGAATGCGTGATGTCCATCAGTGACTTCAGGGTTTGTGGAGCAAACGCTATGGTAGCACCGGGAAGAACAGTGGGTGAGAGGTGACCCCAAAGTTCAGGAATATTGCTTCTGACCCCACTTCCTCAGCTAGCACGTCTGGTGTGTCACAGCAGAGTCCAGCAAAGGTAACCAACAACAAAGGGAAAACTAGACACAGTTGCCTGGAATAAATACGAAAGGTAAGAACAAACAAAATCTGTAGCTGCTTGTCTGTTTAACAGTATAAGCCAATGAGGGATCGTAAACTCAGGGAACCACCTCCAGTGTACACACGTTCAGACGCACACAGGCTTACACACACAAACACACAGGCTCAGACACACATTTGCTCAAACACACACACGCTCAAACACACACACTCAAACACACACATGCTCAAACACACACAATAAACACACAGGCTCAGACACACACCTGCACAAACACACACACAAACACACACCTGCTCAAACACACGCACACTCAAACACACAGGCTCAAACACACGCCCAAATATACATACCCACCCAAGCTCAAACACACTCACACACTAAAACACACAGGCTCCCACACACACACACAAACACACAGTAAAATACACAGGCTCAAACACAAACACTCTCTCACACACACTAAAACACACAGGCTCAAACACACACACACTCTCTCTCAAACGTATACACCCTCAAACGCACTGGAGCTACGTTATTTGAGCAAGCATTTTAGGCCCCAGACCATGATTTAAGTATAAATTCAGTGCCTTCTTTTCTGCATTATGCTCATTTCAACGTAATATAATCTTTACTTATTTCAAATACAAAAAAAATCACTCTTCTCTAGAACTAAAGGAAACACAAAGTACAATCGCCCCACTCTTCATGTAACGCTGTGAAAGAATCCTGCTCATCAGAACGAATTCTAACGGGTCGCTGAATGTGAAGCTCACGTCACCAACAAAGCGCGGTTTCCTCCCTCGCCATCCTTCCTCATGGTCGCGCACCCGGTTCACCTCACCAACAAAGCGCGGTTTCCTCCCTCGCCCTTCTTCCTCGGGATCGTGCACGCGGTTCACGTCACCAACAAAGCGCGGTTTCCTCCCTCGCCAGACTTCCTCATGGTCGCGCACCCGTTTCACCTCACCAACAAAGCGCGGTTTCCTCCCTCGCGATCCTTCCTCGTGATCGCGCACCCAGCTCACCTCACCAGCAAAGCGCGGTTTCCTCCCTGGCAATACTTCCTCGGGATCGTGCACCCGTTTCACCTCACCAACAAAGCGCGGTTTCCTCCCTCGCCATCCTTCCTCATGGTCGCGCACCCGGCTCACCTCAAGAACAAAGCGCGGTTTCCTCCCTGGCAATACTTCCTCGGGATCGTGCACGCGGTTCACCTCACCAACAAAGCGCGGTTTCCTCCCTCGCCATCCTTCCTCGTGGTCGCGCACCCGGCTCACCTCAAGAACAAAGCGCGGTTTCCTCCCTCGCCATCCTTCCTTATGGTCGCGCACCCGGCTCACCTCAACAACAAAGCGCGGTTTCCTCCCTCGCCATCCTTCCTCGTGGTCGCGCACCCGGTTGGATTTCACAGTCATGGAAGTTCTGCTTTAAAATCCGTTTCTGAAGAAGTGTTAATGGTATTGTATCTCACCATATCTTTTTTCTTCTTTATATGACACTGGTTTTTAAATTATAACTCCTGGTGTATAATGAGATAAATTCACCAAAGCCTGGTTCGTGCCCCACAATGCCTTCGTCACTTGGGCAACTGAGCCTTCTGTTAAGCAGGGAGCTCGCAAGCCAGCTCTTTCCGTGTTGCCTGTGTTACGTCCTGAGAAAGGCTTATATACGTGTGGTCCTTAATCAGTGGTGAAGTAATAATGAAAAAGAAGTGCCCATTACGAAGCACCTTCTATGTGGTATGACATAGTATTTCACCACCCTCAATTGGCCAATGTTTCTGAAAAATAAAAAATATTATATGTATTTTACTAATAAGGAATCTAAGAATCTGCGACTAGAAATCAAGTGTCCTGGTTGGACCCTTTCCACGTTGTGCAAAGGGTTTTGGTGAGGGCTGAATGCTTCGTGGGCTCTTTCTGCTTAACCATACCCTATGTATTAAAAGAAAAACAGTGGTCTTGCCTCAGAATGGTAATTTTCAAATATTTTCAGTAATTGAAACTTTTGCCTTTTATTAATGTAAACAGAATGAAATTTTTTTAAATGAGTATATATTTTGGAAAGGATCCTTACTCAGAGACCCTGCTTCAATAATTTTAGAGAAACTTGGGTTTTCAATGCCAAAAAGAAGAAAAAGAAAGACAAGCTTAAGAATACTGTCAGACTAATGCATTTGCCTGATGTGTGTGTATGTATAAACACGCGCATATATAATTTGCCTAACTACCAACAAAATCTTTAGAGGTGAAGATAGAATGATGGGTTTCAAAATTTCATGATACCTAAAATGCCTTCCTAATTTTTTGTTTTTTATTAGTTTTTTTTTCAACTACAAAAGATCTCAATCATGATAAACTGCTTGCTAGACCTGGTTTTCTGTCGTTGTCACCTATAAGCAAGACACATAAAACCCTGTTAAAAAAGCATTGGAAAACAAATATCTAAATAAACAATAGGTAAATGCTATCTGAAGGTCTGTATGTCAGTGGTTATATGAAGGTGATTAGAATCACTTCATTAAAATATTTTTATACATTTGGGAAAACAAATAAAAACCAAATATGCCTGGGAAAATGTTTCTTGATGCATGCCGCAAAATATTTATTTGCCCAGAATATTTATATGGATGATCTGAGAAATAAATATGGGTTACGTATTTCTCCGTGACTATGTCAGGGATAAGAAAAGATTAGATTACTAAGTAAAAAAAAAAAAAAAAAACTTTTCCTAGTGAAAATGTCAGAGCTTATAAGATAAGAATAAAGCAATTCTTTATTTTAGGCAAAATACGTATTTCAGTTGAAAATAACACAATAGCTATCATACAAGGGATGGGAAAACACATTTTGGTAGTGTGCATTAAACCAATTCCTTAGAGGAATGGTAGCTCAGGCATTCACTGCTAAGGGATATAGAAAATAATCTATAACTCCACTGCAAGCACAGAAAAGGGCTCGTTATTCATTTTCAGCATGAGGATTGCAAAACACTAGGCAAGATTCCCTGGGGGCAGGTTGGCAGACACTCTGAACAGGACACAGCCTGGGGACAGGTTGGCAGACCCTCTGACCAGGACACACCCTGGGGACAGGTTGGCAGACCCTCTGACCAGGACACACCCTGGGGACAGGTTGGCAGACCCTCTGAACAGGACACACCTTGGCGATAGGTTGGCAGACCCTCTGAACAGGACACAGGCAGACCCTCTGAAAAGTAGACCTCTGAACAGGACACACCCTGGAAACAGGTTGGCAGACCCTCTGAACAGCACGCAGATGGACCCTTAAACAGTAGACCCTCTGAACAGTACACAAGTGGACCCTCTGAACAGTACACAGGTGGACCCTCTGAACAGTAGACCCTCTGAACACTGAACAGTACACAGGTGAGACATGGACATTAGCGCTCTGCCCTCAAGCACCACCTGTCTGGGAAGCACATCCCTCGCACATATCCAAGAAGAGGACGCCGCTGAGGCTGCAGGGTTCTGCCTGCAAAAGGTTTGAGCAAAATAATTATGCAAATGGTTTATTGGTATATTCCGTGGCTGTGTGCTCCCCGTGTGGTTCAAAGTAAAGCTTTCACTTTGGTGTTAAAGATCCCATATGCCAGAATAGATCAGATTCTCCGTATATTTAACCCAGCAGGTCATTAAGCTGGAGATCCTGATTTGTCAGCAGTCATTCCTCTATCCAGGGCCTCTCGGGCACCTGCTTATCAGTTTGCTATTGATCTGAACGGAAAGTAATTTAAGCAAAGAATTGTCTTCACCTCTGAAATAGGGCAAAGCTGAGAAGAAATAGAAATACAATCACATTTAGGAATGCGGCAAATCCAGTTCTCTTATTTCCCTTCCAACTCCTGTTAGAGCATTAACATCCTGTGAAGAGCAAGAAATAGAAGCTAGATTAGCTAAATTATTTCCTATTTTTGCAGAAAAGGAGCTTGAAAAAAATATTCTTAAAGACGCCCTGATGAATTTTTATTATCATTCTCCCTCTCTGTCTTTGCTGATAATCATTCTCTTCTGAATAGTTACACTGAAAACTTTTGCAATAAAATTCAAATTAGTTATATAATTAGAGTCAATTATGTTAAAGGGGGAAGAGGGACTTCAATTTGCAGCTTTTAATTCTAGAGTTCTCCAAATAGTAATTGACACAGAATACAAACAATTCCAATCACGGAAATTAGAATGAGTACCCTCACCTGTCCCTGACGTGAACAGAAATTGGCAGGAGCAGCACACACAGAATAGTAAAAGACAGTCCTCGATTGTAAATGGACGAGGTCCCGCAGAAGACTGAAATCTTGGGCCCAGCCCCACTTTTCCTATAACACATTCCAGGCTGCTTCAAGGCACAGAAATAAACCATGACGCTAGAATGCTGCCTTCATAAGGCTTTTCCACAGTCTCCTCATAGTGCACATTTTTATTGAACTCACGGTGCATAGAACTCATGCCAGCTGTCTGTCCATTTCTCTCCATATGTGGTTTGGATTGACCTTATTCTTGGTTCCATATTGCCATTTAAAAATATGCTGTTACTGAATTTCTCAGAAATCAATCTGGTTACCCCAACTTGCTGTCGTGCTATTAAGGCGTTCTCACCTTAGCCTTGCTTGGATATTGAGCACTATGCTTTGAAAACTAATAGGTCGATCATAATTTTAATTTAATTTAATTTTATTATTATAGGTGTTATAAGGTGTGGACATTTTGTTCTGAATTTCATATCATTTCTAAATTTGTTTTCTGGCTTTTCATCTCTTGACCTGAGTACAGCCTCCTTGAGAAAAGGTTCAGGTTGCACTGCAGAACCAGGGGCCTGGTGGAGCAGATAATACAACTGGTTGACCTACTTTGTCATGGCATTCTGAACACCATCTCAAAGACCAGTGGTACTAAAATCTTAGTTACCTTGACATAGCCGATGAGTTAAGAATGCAATGATTTTAAGGTGCTTTAAAAAAAATAGGCTGACAAAACCAGTTCAATCAGTGAAATAGGTAAGGCTCATTTTTGTTCCATAATTTAGTTTCTCTCCTTCTTTTTTAAAAAGAAAACTAGGTCAGCAAAATTGTGGAAGTGTTGTGTAATAATCACCACAAATCACTTAGAGTTCTGGTTCAAGGGGTTTTAACCTGGTAATAAATTATCCTTCTGAGATGAGACTCAGAGTTAATTATGTCCATTACTCTAATTTTATTTCATATCTAGAGGGGAACTAAGGAGAAGAGATCACAAATAACTCACTACCAAAAGCAGCTACATTTTCCCTTTATTATACTAAAAATATTCTAAATGGACCACATCATCCCCAACAGTGGGCCTTTCATTTTATGCTAAACAAAGAACCAAAAAATTGACTGATAGGAGAGCTGAGAAGTAATTTTTCTATTTGTGACATCCATGAAAACCACACCGTGTCATCATTGCTCCTCCCAGGCCATTAAGTAAGAATCTGTCCTTCCCAGCCAGGCATTTTATACTAAACCTGGGATGGTGGGCTCCCTATCCAATGACTTGGGCTGTAACACAGGGAAAGCCTAATTATTAATCAATCCAAATTCTCCCTGAAGTTGTAGGTAGCTCACCAAATCATAATCAAGTAAGCCTGATCAGAAATTCAGACAAAAAATACCTATATCCTTTACAGAAAAATCAACCTAAATATCTATGCTGTCTCTACAATGAAATGGAGTTTCTGAGCAATTACTCTACGAACCTCAAGTATTTCAGTCATTAAGAAGATATGAGTATAAGTCTGTACTTACTTGTGATGGAAATGTAACTTGACTATTTTAGAATAATTTCTAAGCACTCTGCCTTAAAAACAGATGGCTTCTTAGATAGAATTTCTCATGGCTCAACAAGAATGCTTGAAGTTGTTATATAGTTCCTTAGCATTTAGGGTAATAAATGTACATGCTAGCTAGGTGCAGTGGCTCATGCCTGAAATCCAACACTTTGGGGGCAGGAGGATTGCTTGAGGCCAGGAGTTCAAAACCAGCCTGGGCAACGTAGAGAAACCCTTTTTCTACAAAATAATAATAATAACAATAAATTAGTTAGGTGTGGTCACGTGCCTGTGGTCCAAGCTACTCAGGAGGCTGAGGTGGGAGGACTGCTTGAGCCCAGGAGGTTGAGGCTGCAGTGAGCTGGGATTGTACCAATGTACTTTCGTCTGAGTGACAGAGCAAGACCCTGTCATGGTAAATAAATAACTAAATACATAAAAATAAACATTCATGCTATATATGCTGCTGTTTTGCAGTAGAGAACATATACTGTAAAATATACAAAATTTGAAATTTTTCTATGGGACATGTTACTTTTTTCAAAGATGTTAACATTTATGTCTGCCAAACTTAATCCCTCTTTTTCTGTATTCTTATTTCTTGAAAGATTAGACCAAATCTTCTCTTCTGTGCTGTGATCAACTAAAAAAGAAGCCTGTAATGCCTTCATATGAAATTTGAAGATATATGTATATGAAGCATACAGGTCATTCTTACTCCAGCTAAGCTCTCCCACAAGAACTCTGTTTTTGAGGGGCACAAACATCAGATAATCTGAGCCGTGGGCCCCCAGCTCCCTTGAGCATATCTAGATATGGGTCATTCTAGTGGGAAGGTTTGCCGAATTATCCTGACTGGGTATGTTTTACACAAAGTAGCTCTGAAATTTTTCTCTAATCACTGCCCTCCAAATTGTTAAGTAAATCTCTCTTTTGTGCCTGGTAGCATGCCCTGTGATACCACCTTACCCAAGTGGCAGTACTTCCTGTGAATTGGTCAGTAAAAAGGAGCCTGGATGTTTCCACACTGATGGTTGCCAAGCCAGGGAGTGAGATGCCAGGTCCCCTTGCCTTGGGCCTGCTGTAGTGTGAGCAGCTAGGACAGGGCCCCCTCCTCCATCATCCCTCTGAAGGGGAGGAAAGCCTCTCACTCTTATTTTGGATGCTCCCGGGGACATCTCAGGCTTTCTCCCTCCTCTGCTACTGTCTTCTTCCCTAGAGCTTGATTCTGTGTTTGCCGAGGGAGATACATTGATTGTGGGACCTCCAGTTCGTTTGACTCTTTATGCTTAAGGGCATAGGTGGCACCAGATTTTGTCTTTACAATGCTGTGTGTTTCATCCTCAATTTTGAAAGCAAACTGACAATTCCAGGGCACTAAGAAAAGACCCACCCATGCAGAACATCATTGAAAGCAAGACTAGCAAGTCTGTTTATGTCTTACAAAGCGCCCAACTTGAGATTGCAGAACAGGGTTACCTCAGCAAATAAAAGAATAAAAGAATAAACAATTATATTAGCGGAGATTGCAGAACAGGGTTACCTCAGCAAATAAAAGAATAAGCAATCATATTAGCAGAGATTGCAGAACAGTATTACCTCAGCAAATAAAAGAATAAGTAATTATATTAGCTTAGCTAATATAATTATGGCTGAAGTTTGCTTTAACAATATAATGTTATATATAATGTTATATGTAATGTTATATATGTTGTGTTTATATATAATATATATTAGCTAATAATTTGGGTACTTGCAAATTTGTTATAAACTAATTTGTTATATATAATAAATTAGCTTATAACAAATACATATAGTTATATATATTATATATATTAGCTTACAACAAATTTGCAAATATACAGATAATAAAATATATTATTATTTATATATAAAATTTGCAATCATCCAGAGTTGCTTAAACAATTAGGTAAAAGATAGATGGAAACTCTGTAATAGATGGGTCAGACTGACAACACTTTAAACCACTGATCGTTAGTTGATTACAATGAAAAGTAGAACAACTGGAAATTTTTTTCAGAGCATAAGTAAAAAATAAACTTCATAGAAGTAAGATATTTAAGAAACATGCTAACCAAATGAAAATTGTTTTGATATAGAATATTAAAAAATTATTTACTTTAAGTGTGAGGATAGTATTGTAGTTATGCTTATTTTAAAAAGCACTAATCTATTAGAAATACTAAATAATTATGGAAGAAATGATATGATGGCTGAAGTTTGCTTTAACATATTTAAATAAATAAAAAACAATGAACGTGTTATAAAAGAAGAAACAAGATTTGTGAATATTGATAATTACTGAAGTTAGATAATGGGAACATTACATTTTCTTTTAATTCTGCCATTTTTCTAGAGATCTCCACATGTCACTTGTTTTGTTTGCTTTTTCGGTCACTGTGGACCCCACTGATAACTCTTAGGCTTGACTCTGGCATTGTCTTTATTATCTAAACATGTTTCCAGTATTTTCATACTGTGCTCTTATGCGAAGCTGCCAAATCAGAGGTTAGCAGGTCGCGGTCTTGGCCTCTGGCAATCTTAGCAGGGTTTCCAATGGGTTTGTTGTGTGGAAAGTACCAAGGATCATCCTTGGTGCCGTAAATCATTAGCCACTACTGAATTCCCACTAGAAAGCACAGAGCCACATAACACTTCTTTTGGACACCCATCAGGACAATACTTGGGTCTCATTCGGAGGCTTCGTCCTGTGTGCTGGCTCAGATGAAAAGGGAGAGTGGAGTGAATCTTGGACTGATGATTGTAATCCACCCCGTAAGCAGCCACTGCAGAGTCTCCAGGGAAAGAAAGGCTGTGTCTCTGCGTCAGAGGTTTGGGCTACATCTGCTGACTCAGAGGGTCCAGGGGAATCCGGGAGATTGAGGGTATCATCCATCCCTTATGTCAGGGTTCTATTCATTCCCTATGAGATAGAAGACTCACAGCAGTACAGCTGTCAATGGAGCTTCCTTATATAGCCACGGCTCCTATAACCATATCTTGAGCCTTATTTTCAGCAGTCTTCCCTCAGCTGTAGGAGAGAATTGTTTAATTGCTGTTTGGAGACCTTCTGGCACTTATAAAATATGCTGAGCCAACCTCAGGAATGATGACTCACTGACCCATAGTGAACTTGGAAACTGCTGTACAGAATACCACAGATGCACAACTTAAACTCAAAAGCATATTTCTCAGTCCTGGAAGCTAGAACTCCAGGACCCAGGCGTCATCAGAGTTGGTTCCTGGTGAGGTCTTGCTGTCTGGCTTACAGGGGGCCACATACTCACTGTGTCATCTTCACTCACACACACCTGGCTGTACCTGTTTCTTCTCTGTGTGTACAAAGAGACAGGGAGAGAGAGAGAGAGAGAGAGATCCAATGCCTCTTCTTATAAGGGCACCAGTTCTATAGGCCGAGCGAGGGCCCCACCCTTATATCTCATTGAGCCTTCATCACCTCCTTAAAGGCCTCATCTCCAAATACAGCCACATTGGGAGTTAGGGCTTCAACATATAAATTTGGTGGGACAGAATTTACCCCATATCAGACGGGATATAAGCAGACTGAACGTTAGAAAGATTTTTACTTGAAGGAAAATAATAAGGGGAAAATAGATCTAGAAGATTGGAAAATCAGTAAGGGAGCTATTAAGAGATTCCACATACGATGTACTGGAACCATGGTCTGAACACTGATTAGAGTTATGTAAAAACATTCTGAAGAGATATTTAACATGAATTAGTGAGTGATTTCGTGTGCAGAGTTGGGAGAAAGCTGAGCTATATGAGATGACCGCGAACCCTTCCATGAGGCCCTTGGTGTGCCAGGGTGAGCGATACAGAACAGCTGAGCCATACGAGATGACCACAGACTCTTCCATCAGGCCCTCGGTGTACCACGGTGAGCAGTAAGGAGCAGCTGAAGGAGGACATATGAAAGAGAAAAGAGGTGTAGTTCTGGGCATGTGTAAGTAAAAACGGAAACAGAGGCGTGTACTTAAAAAGTGTTTGAAGGTCCAACTATGCAGAGAGGTCCTTGCGGGGAACTGGAGAAGCAGAAGAAAGGGAAGGAAAATCCAACATCTCAGGGTGGAGGAAAGGTTGCGGCTGACAAGCACGCAAGTGAAGGCCACCAGCAACCGTTCAAACCACTTCCCCTCACGTGGGAGACACGACAGTGGTTCTGTAACCGGGAGCTGGGATTTGGAAGAGGAGGTACAGTTCTTCTGTAACTTTATCCATTGTGATCTGCTGTCTCCTGAAAACTGGCTGACAGTGCACAGAACCAGGGCTTACCCTGCAAACGCCCGTATTCGATGCTAGAATGTTTGAGTGCAAGCCTATCTCTGTAGAAGTGAGCACTATGCTGTGATAAAATGTGTGTACCTGGGGTTTTGGAGAAAAAAAAAAGGCAGAATACACCCATCGCTATTCAAAGGCAGCAAAGAAATTGTGACACCTTAAAACAGATACACACAAAAAATCCATTTTGTTTCTCTAATGGATCTAACGAGAGTGATGGTAGCAACAGCCAGGTAAGGTGAATGGAGATTTAAACATAAGCTCATTTTAATCTGCATACTTAATGTTTCAATCAAAATGTCCCATAATTAAACTTTTAAATAGTTCATATTCTGCAAGAAAAGCTAAGAAAAGGGGAGCTGGAACCCTGTAATATTCAATGAAATAACCTCTGAGGAAATTCATCTAAAAACTCACACTGATAGAGATGCTACATTAGTTTTGAGATGCCTGTGGAATAGCCAGAGGAGATATGTATCAGCCCTTTCTCACACTGCTATGAAGAAATACCTGAGACTGGGTAATTTATAAAGAAAAGAGGTTTAATTGACTCACAGTTCCGCATGGCTGGGGAGGCCTCAGGAAACTTACAATCATGGCGGAAGGCAAAGGAGTGGCAAGCACCTTCTTCACACGGCAGCAGGAAGGAGTGAGTACAAGCAGGGGAAATGACAAATGCTTATCAAACCATCAGATCTCATGAGACTAGCTCACTCTTACAAGAACAGCAATGGGGAAACCCCCCCATGATCCAATTACCTCCACCTGGTCCTGCCCTTGACATGTGGGGATTATGGGGATTGCAGTTCAAGGAGAGATTTGGGTGGGGACACAGAGTAAAACTGTATCAAGATACATATATACATTCATATATATTAATACATATATACATATATATATATATAGTGTGTGTGTGTGTGTGTGTGTGTGTGTGTATTCTCTATCTACCTATCATTTAAAAAATCAAGCTAGGAAAAATATTCTTCCGAGTCAACCCTAAGATGCTTGTTCTCTGCAGCTCTGGGTAATGATGACGCTGCCCAGAGATGAGAATGCATCCAGGAAAACAGGAAGAGGCCAAGGTGAATCTCAGAGAAACTAAGCACATAAATCTCAGGACATATTACAACACTGAAAGGAATTATATTCCAAAAATAAGGTTATTGATCTAAAATTATTTGTATTAGTTTTCAAATTTACATGATGAAAATGTATAATATTTTAAAACAGAAAAAAAAGTCAATGAGAGAAATTCAGGCAGAGGAAAACTTACCAAAAAATGCAAAACACAAACTAAAACCCAGTAAGAATGTTCTTAGTCACCCACGAGCTTCTGGCCATACATCATGAGGAACAGACAACAATTTTATGTTAAAATCAAATCTTTTTAATACCATAGTCAATATTGTCAGATCAATTTGGTGGTATTAGTAAAACAATTACAATAACAAAATTGAAGGTCTCTTGGGCACTCTAAACATCAATCAAATATGATGACTTCTCTTTAAATCACCATTCAATAGCCTTTTAAGTATATTGATTTGAAGCATTTTATCAATGCTATTAGCATCAGTGGTAGTAACGATCATTGATTATGTACGTAACATTTGCTACCATAAGCACTAAAGTTTTTCTATTTATTATCTCTAATTCATACAAGAATGTTCAAGATGAGAAATGTTTTTCTTATTTTAAATATTTAAAAAATAAGGCTCAGATTAATTAAGTAACTTGGTTAAAGGCACGCAGTAAATGTTGGATTTGTATTGTGAATGCAGGTTAACCTGTTCCAATGAAATAAATTTTTTTCCTATTTAGGAGCTCTTTTACAAACATAGTTAACTGATTTTTGGAAGAAAATCTCTGAGAATAGTTTAAATATGTATGAACCTTAATTAGTACATAGTACCTAGTAGTACCATTGGGAAAGTAAGGGTTTCTTTTTTACATAACAGGACAAGAAAATTATTGTCATAGAAAAAAACCAAGCACTGGGTTTTATAACTTATCTATGTAATTCTTCCTCTTTTTCTGCCTGCTTTGTGAAGAAAATGACATAAGCAAATGTGCTCACACACACATAAGCACAGCTTTTTCCAAGATAGAGATTCTGTCCTCTTGTTCTAATTTGGAATATTATAAAAATTAAACCAGAACCTTTGTTCTAATTTGGGATATTACAACAATTAAACCAGAGAAACATAGCTGAACATAAAACTGAAACAGAAGTGAAGATCACGCTGTCTGTTACATAAACTTCACTTTCAATCCCAGATCAATGCATTGAGAGAGAGAGTCAAATATTTATCTCAGAAAAATGCCAGAGGAGGAAAGGAAGGAGCTGGAAGGGTGATGTCCACACATCTTGCCATGGCACCTCTGCCTGTTAGAAGACCTTTGGGTTTCACCATTTTTTTCTTTTCATCCTAGCTCATTCTCTTCAGCACAAATGGTTGGGTCATACAAAGAAGCTACACAAGTAAGAAGGGACATGAGGGAGTTCCTTGATTATTCATGTCTCTCAGAACATTATTAGTTGCCTTTTATATGCAGACAAAGTAGTAGGTATGGTGCAGGTGTATTGAGGAGGAGTGGGGGTTGTAGGTGTGGAGGTGGCTGGTGTGGTACAGGTGTACTGAAGAGCTGTGGTGGTAGCAGGTGTGGAGGTGGTAGATGTGGTACAGGTGTTTTGAGGAGGCGTGGAGGTGGCAGGTGTGGTGCAGGTGTTTTGAGGAGGTGTGGAGGTGGCAGGTGTACAGGTGTATTGAAGAGCTGTGGTGGTAGCAGATATGGAGGTGGCATCTGTAGTGCAGGTGTTTTGAGTTGGCTTGGAGGTGGCAGGTGTGGTGCAGGTATTTTAAGGAGGTGTGCAGGTGGCAGGTGTGGTGCAGGTGTGGTGGTTAGCCCAAACATCTTGTAGCATTAAAAAATCCATGAGGTAATGAATATACACACACTGTGAGCAGGGCATGACACGGGGGCACAGCCAAACCTCTTGACTCAGACAATGAATTTTGATTAAAAGACACAAATTGTCAAAGTGAATTTAAAAAAGGACGAAATGATATGCTATCTAAAAGACTTCCACTGGAATATAAAGAATTACATCAGTTAACAGTAAAGTGATAAAGATATACCATCGTAACCCTAATCAAAAGAAAGCTGGAGGAACTATGTTAATTTCACACAGAGCCAACTTCAGAGCAAGGAAAATGAACATGGATAAAGCACAGCACTACATAATAATAAAGGGGTCAACTTTTCAAAAAGACATAAAAATCCTTAAATTGTAGGCACCTAAGCACAGAGCACCAAAATGCATGAGGCAAAATCTCAAAGAACTACAACAAGAAATAGATGGATCCACTACAATAGCTGGAGACTGCGGCAGTCCTCTATCAGAGATGGACAGAGCCCACAGGCAGGAATTCAGGAAAGACACAGATGAGAACTCAGCAGCACCATCAAGTAATGGGACATTATGGTGACTTCATCCAACCACAGCAGAATACACACTCTTCTCAGGACCACCTGGAATATTCACCAAGATAAGCCATATTCTGGGACATAAAACAAACAATTTAAAAAACTCATGTAAGATGTATTTTCAGACCAGAATGGAATTAAAGTAGAAGTCAATAACAGTGAGATAACTGGAAAATTCCTAAATATTTAGAAACTAAACAGAATAACTCCTATGGGTCAAAGCAGAAGTCTCAAGATAAATTAAAATATATGTGATCTAAATTATTAAAGAAAAACTTACATAAATGTGTGGCAGTGATCAGAAGAAAATGTTTAGTATGAAATGTATGCATTAGAAAATAATAAAGATCTAAAATCAATAACCTAAGCTTCAACCTTAGGGAACTAAGGAAAGAAGACCAATTTAAAGCTAAGGTACTTGGAAGAAAAAGTAACAAAAATTAGAACAGAAGCCAATAAAATTGAAAGTAGAAAAACAATACAGAAAATCAAAGAAAACAAAAGCTGGAAGGCCAGGCATGGTGACTCGAACCTGCAACCCCTGTGCTTTGGGAGGCCGAGACAGGGGATCACTAGAGGTCAAGAGTTTGAGGCATCATTGAGCTGTGATCTTGACACTGCACTCCAGCCTGGGTGAAAGAACGAGATCCTGTCTCAGAAAAAAAACAAAAAACAAAAAACAAAAAACTGGTTGTTTGAAAAGATCATTAAAATCAATAAACCTCTACCTAGACTCACAAGAAAAGAGGGAGAATTATCAATGGTAAATTACCAACGTCAAAAATGAAAATGGGGCCATCACTACTGATCTCATGGCCCTTAAAAGGAAAATAAAGGTAGACCACAAACAATTTTCTGCCTGCAATTTTGATAACTTACATAAAATAGGCCAATTCCTTGAACGACAATCAACCAAAACTCACCCAAGGAGAAACAGACAATGTGAATAGACCAATATATATTAATGAATTGAATTAATAATTAATAATCTTCCAAAAAAGAAAACACCAGGCCCAGATGGTTTTACTGGTGAATTCTACCAAAGATTTAATATAGAAATAATTCCAGTACTGAACAATTTCTTCCAGAAATTTGGGAAAACAGAAGGAACACGTTCTAACTTATTCTATGAGGCAAGCATTATCCTGATGTCAAAATCAGTTACACAGTGCAAGAAAAGCTAAATCCACACCGGCATCACTCTTGACCATAGATGCAAATAATCAGAAATATATTAGCAAAATGAACCCAACAATGCATAAAAATAATTAGAAACCTTAAAAAAGTAGCATTTACTAGCCATGTGAGCCTAGTTTAAAATTTGAAAATAGTCAGTGTAATCCATCACATCACGCAGCTAAAGAGGAAAAATCATTTTTCTCAGTTGCAAAAAGAGATACACCTAAAAACCTTTGTGACTATTGAAGTGGCATTTCAAATGATTCTGAGTTTCTGGGTTGCTGAAACAAAGAGACATGAACACATCTGATTTGCTATGTGATAGACTTATGATAGAAAGAAGAACGAGGATGAATTTTTTGTCTTCATAATATGTTATAATTAGAAATGATTTAAAATATAAATTTTGTAACATCGATCCAAGTTGAATTTTTATTTCCTTTTTTAGCTAAATCATATTATATTTGATAAGAAATAGAACCCCTTAATAGAAGGAGAAACTATAGATGCAGCCTATTATCTAATAATCAAGAAAGACTCAATGATATTAAATCAGCATCATTACTTTTAAGCTTGAATTAGCTTTTATTTTACAAATGTATGTAAAGAAGAATATGCAGCCGTAATATTAATTATTACAGATAGTAAGTGGGGCCTTCATGCTTAGAAAATCTTTACTTTCATCCTATGGAAAATGGAAGCCTTTCTGGGACAATATTTTCCTCTTTGTTTCAGTCACTAGAAAACCCAGAGTCCATCCTAAAATTCAACTTTAATAGTCATGGAAAACCTCATGATGTATTTTAATGAACCAACTTCTCCTTATGTTAATTTTACTATTATATTGATTTTTCAGGCAGTCTTGAATGAAGGTTTCCTTACTGTTCTAACAAGTGTTGAAATAATTTTTTTCTTTAACAGAACTCAAAGAAAAAATACTATCATCAAAATAATAACTCAAAAACAAATGCCATTTAACAGTCATAGTGACATTAATTCTATGGATGAAGCATGAGATTAGAAGTTACATCATTTATTTTCTCTTACACTGCAATGTGATTTCTGCTAACATTAATTGTTACAACATTTTTTTCTCTTCAAACCTTTTGTTGTTCCTCCTCCTCCTCATCTCTCGCCTTGGTTTTCTGCTTCTGCGTCGAAGAGGCCATGTCCTTCTCCATCGTATGACAAACAATGTTTCCTGAAATAATACTCTGGCTGGTGTCACAGGGCTTTGTCACAGGTGTCTTCCCTCCCATATGCTTTCTGAAAGAGTAATTTTTTTTATTTATTCAACTTAAGTTCGTTAATATTTAGTTTTCCAGAGAGGAGAAAGCAAAGTTCTCTTGTCTCTGCACCATGTCTACAAGTCTAGAGGTAGAATCCCTCCCTAAGACAGGCCACATCAGATGGCCACTGCTCTGCTGGTTAAAACGATGCACTTCTGGCTCCCCTACTTTTATTTTTGATGGTTCCCATCATGTAATCTATTTACCATGCAGAATCAGAGCACATCTTTTAAGAATACATTAAACAGCAACATTCCCATACCTGAAACCTTTCCATTCTAGCTGCCTGAGACTCCATCCTTGTCAGTCTCTCTAAATTTATCTTCGATCCTGCACTCTTTGTTCAGGAAACTCCACACACACTGCCTACCTCCTCCTCTCTTCCTCCTCCTCCTCCCATCTTCCTCCTCCTCCTCCCATCCCCCTCCTTCTTTCCATTGTCCCTGCCCCTGCCTCCTTCCTTATCCTGCTTCTTGTATTCTGGTAAGAACACTAAACTTGAAGTCTGCCCTATTAACGGATCTTTAAGTGTACAGTATTATTAGCTGCGGGCATGGTGCACAGCAGATCTCTAGAACTTACACATCTTCTATTCCTAAAACTTTATACCTTTGAATAGAAATGCCTCAGTCCACCTCCCCTCAGTCACTGCCAAGCACCATGCTACTCTCTGAATCTAACTTCTTTAGAAACCTCATATAAGTGAGATTATGCAGTATTTATCTTTCTATGTCTTGCTGAGTCACATCTTGCAGGTTCATCCATGTTGTCCCACATGGCAGGATTCCCTTCTTTTTTAAAGCTGAATAATATTCCATTGCATACACACACACACACACACACACACACACACACACACACACACACACACTGCATTTTCTTCATCCATCAATGGACACTTAAGTTGTTTCCGTATCTTGGCTATTATGGATTATGCTGCAATAAATAAAGAAGAACACATATTTCTTCAAGATCCTGACTTCAGTTCTTCTGGATACACTCCCAGAAATGAAGTGAGATTGCTGAATCGTATAATAGTTCTATTTTTAATTTTTTGAGGCACTGCCTTACTGTTTTTCACAGTGGCTGAGTCATTTTGTGCACAACATTCCGATTTTTCTGCATCCTCCTCATCGACATTTGTTATCTTTTGTTTTCTGATGATAGCCATTATTCCTAGAAAAAAGTAGGAGAAAAGTGTCATGACATTGGTCTTGACAATTTCTTGAATATGATATCAAAAGCACAGGCAACAAAAGCAAATGCAAAAGCAAAGTAAAACTACATCAAACTACTAAGTTTCTGCACAGCAGAGAAAACAATTCATAGAGTGAAAAGCTAACCTACAAAATGGCAGAAAATATTTGCAAACCATACAGCTGATAAGGGGTCAATGTCCAAACACATGAGGATCTCCTAAAACTCAATAGCAGAATCATCATCATCATCATTATCATCATCATCATCTTACTTGAAAATGGGCAAATGGCCTGAACAGACATTTCTCCAAAGAAGACATACACATGTCCAGCAGGTATAAGAAAAGCTGCACAACATCACTCATCATCAGGGAAATGCAAATCACAGCCGCAATCAGGACACCCCCACAGCTTCTCAAACACAGCAGGGCTCCTCCCTCTCAGTGGCACCAGTGCTTGGTCTCCTCTGAGAGGCCCCCTTACCCCAGGCCCATCCTCCCCACCCCCCACGGCCCACCAGTTCTTTCTCTTCCTGTAAGTCTCTGTTTAGCTTTCATGTCCTGGCTTTTCCTAACCTCTTAGTCTATGGTTTTATTTTTACCCCTGATTTTATTCCTTCGTAACACTCATTTAAAAAATACATTTTTAAATTGATTTTCCTCATATCACACTAATCTTCCACTGGACTATAAGACCTCTGAGAACAGAGACTGTGTCTCTCCTGTTCACATTGTGTCCACAGCCCTGACACTCTTTCTCATACACAGCAGGCGCTAAATATATGTTTTTTAAGACTAATGTAGCCCAAAATTTTGTAGCCCACATGAGAGAATGGGAGATTGGAATTGCTCTCTTCTGCTTCGTTATTTCAAGAGTCACATGATTTAATCATGATTCACTGCAGGCACACATTAAGTCACCTAAGCAGTTTGTGATCGAGAGCAAAGATTTTGGAAACTGGTTTCCTGGGCACGTAAAAGTTCTCAGAGTACCTTAGGAACTGCTGCAGAGAAGGGTGGAACATGGTGAGGAGGTGTCGGCCGCAGGACTCTGAGCCCAATCTCTGCTTTTAACCAATCAGTGTCAGATGTTGTGACCTTACATCTCCAGCTTCTACTTGAGTTTTCATGTGGAAGAGGAAGAGGAGGAAGAAGAAGAAGAAGAAGGGGGGGGGAGGAGAAGAAATGTGCTGCTACCAAAAAAAGTCCTTAAAAATTCAAATCTAAACAAATTGAAGTTGATGATTAAGGATGTTTTCATCACTTCATGTGCGTGTTCATGAAGTGAGACGCAGCTCTGGGTAATTCAGTTTTAACTAGAATATTAAATACGTTAATAATTAAGATTTGGGGCATGAGTTAAACTATGCTGTATGCTTTTCAGCTTAACCTACATGTGCAGATAGATGCGTACCAGCTATGGCAGAGCTTAAACACTTGTTGGATGTAGTGCAGCTCATCACAGATCACACTCTAGGGCTGAAAGCAAATTAGTGGCGCCCACTCTTAGATCTCTTGTCCGGCGCTTGGATCGTGGTGGTTGCCAGGGGCAGAGGTTTCCTTAGCAACGGTGGGGCCTGGGAGGACCTCGCTCATTCTGTCAGCTTTGAAGAGCTTAATATCCAGTTACCTAATATCCAAACATACAAGGGTCTCCTAAAACTCAATAGCAACATAATAATGATAATAATAGTAAACTGGAGTGGAAAACAGGCAAAGGGCTTGAATAGACATTTCTCTAAAGAAGACATATACATGGCCAACAGGTATAGGAAGATGTACCCTGATGTATTGTATGCATTGTTGGCAGAAGTGTTTTATCTACCTGCCGGTCATGTGGGAATGATCTGATAATTCTACCAGAAAAGAAAATACAAATGACCTTTAAAATACCAAGGTTGCTGAAAGAATCAGCAAGATATAATTTCTCATTAAAATCACCCTCATCGCACCATCATGCCATCACTTGACTTAGAAGTGGCTTCTAGCAGTTCACGTAAACAGAGAACTTGGTTCTCCTAGGCCATGGGGGCTGTTGTCCCTAGACAAAATGATCAGGTTCTGGATCATAAGTTCACCTCCACTAAACCACTTGAATAGGCCTGAGATAATTCTTACATTCAGGGTTTAATGCTGCCCAATGTCTGAGAATGTAAGGGCTCATCAAAGAAGGCACAGGGCTGAGATCAGGGAAAATATATGACTGTCTTGGTCATCAACTATACCTTCCTAAAGTTCGAATAGTGTCTTCAGAAACTCTTTAGTGCCATTGGTAAAGTCTATTCATGTACGGTCAATTGAATAATTGCATCTTAAGTAGTGCACCGTCAAAAAAATCCATATAGAAAATTTATTTTGAGGAAGATCAATGATGACTGCTTATTGTAAGTGTTTCAAAGTTATCAGAAAAGCAGAATTCATTTCAACAGAGGACAAAGCTGCAAGTGAGGCTCTGAGAAGTTTCCAGAAGAATGATCTGCAGAATAGAATGGACTGCATGACTGTGTCCCAGGACAGAGCCGTGGACGATGCATGAAACATTCAGCACTATGGAGGGAAGATGAGTATGGAAATCAGGAGACAGTCTCACAATGGAAACGAATGATGTGAGCCTGCTAACGTTGATTGAGAAATTCCATTGATTGGGCGAGACAAGGACGGATGCCTGAATAAAGGAGCTGGCATAATCGGAGGAGCAGAATGTACTAGGAAGGTATTAGAAAAGAAATCTCCAGCTCTGTCAGAAAACTTGCTAAGTCATTCTCTCTCCATGGCCCTTTCATCAAATCAGCAGATAGCAAAGAGGTAATGAAGCCAGAAAACATCAAAAGCCGCCTGAAGGAATTGCTGGTGAGTGTCAGGAAGCCGCTAGAGACACCAAGAATGCTCCCCAAGATTTTACATCTGGAATTAAGTCATTAGTTATTTAACTATGTCAAAGGGGCTGAAGGAAAAATCTTTGCTTAAGTATAATAATAATAGAAAAGTAAAGAACAATTCTCTAGTTATTATTAATATTTGATTAGGGAAAAAAATCCCTGGGCTGGAAATCAGTAGTCCAAGATCAGCCACTAATTACCTGTCTGGCCTTGAGTAAAATACTTAATATTTCTTGGCATCAGCTTTCCCCTGTATAAAAGGTGTCTGGCAATTTTCAACCTGACCTCTAGGGAACTGCCCGGGATGCCCAAGCGCAGGGGAAACTGGAGGCAGAATTAGCACTAAAGGGGGATGCAGAACCCCACCTGTACTCCCCAACACCCACATCCACACCTTATCCAGGTGACACCCACACCCACACCTTATACAGGTGATACCCACATCCACACCTTATCCAGGAGACACCCACATCCACACCTTATCCAGGAGACACCCACATCCACACCTTATCCAGGTGACACCCACACCCACACCTTATACAGGAGACACCCACATCCACACCATATCCAGGTGACACCCACACCCACACCTTATACAGGTGACACCCACACCCACACCTTATACAGGCGACACCCACACCCACACCTTATCCAGGTGACACCCACACCACACCTTATACAGGCGACACCCACACCCACACCTTATCCAGGTGACACCCACACCTTATCCAGGCGACACCCACACCCACACCTTATACAGGCGACACCCACGCCCACACCTTATCCGGGTGACACCCACACCTTATCCGGGTGACACCCACACCTTATCCAGGCGACACCCACACCCACACCTTATCCGGGCGACACCCACACCCACACCTTATCCGGGCGACACCCACACCCACACCTTATCCGGGCGACACCCACACCCACACCTTATCCGGGCGACACCCACACCCACACCTTATCCGGGCGACACCCACACCCACACCTTATCCGGGCGACACCCACACCTTATCCGGGCGACACCCACGCCCACACCTTATCCGGGTGACACCCACACCTTGCACCCACACCTTATCCGGGCGACACCCACACCTTATCCGGGCGACACCCACACCTTATCCGGGCGACACCCACGCCCACACCTTATCCGGGTGACACCCACACCTTATCCAGGTGACACCCACACCCACACCTTATCCAGGCGACACCCACACCTTATCCAGGCGACACCCACACCTTATCCAGGCGACACCCACACCCACACCTTATCCAGGCGACACCCACGTCCACACCTTATCCAGGCGACACCCACGTCCACTCCTTATCCAGGCGACACCCACACCCACACCTTATCCAGGCGACACCCACACCCACACCTTATCCAGGCGACACCCACACCCACACCTTATCCAGGCGACACCCACGTCCACACCTTATCCAGGCGACACCCACACCTTATCCAGGCGACACCCACACCCACACCTTATCCAGGCGACACCCACGTCCACACCTTATCCAGGCGACACCCACGTCCACACCTTATCCGGGCGACACCCACACCCACACCTTATCCGGGCGACACCCACACCCACACCTGATCCACGCGACACCCACGTCCACACCTGATCCAGGCGACACCCACGTCCACACCTGATCCAGGCGACACCCACGTCCACACCTGATCCACGCGACACCCACGTCCACACCTGATCCAGGCGACACCCACGTCCACACCTGATCCAGGCGACACCCACGTCCACACCTGATCCAGGCGACACCCACACCCACACCTGATCCAGGCGACACCCACACCCACACCTTATCCAGGCGACACCCACACCCACACCTTATCCAGGCGACACCCACACCCACACCTTATCCAGGCGACACCCACACCCACACCTTATCCAGGCGACACCCACGTCCACACCTTATCCAGGCGACACCCACGCCCACACCTTATCCAGGCGACACCCACGCCCACACCTTATCCAGGCGACACCCACGCCCACACCTTATCCCGGCGACACCCACGCCCACACCTTATCCGGGCGACACCCACGCCCACACCTTATCCGGGCGACACCCACGCCCACACCTTATCCGGGCGACACCCACGCCCACACCTTATCCGGGCGACACCCACGCCCACACCTTATCCGGGCGACACCCACGCCCACACCTTATCCGGGCGACACCCACGCCCACACCTTATCCGGGCGACACCCACGCCCACACCTTATCCGGGCGACACCCACGCCCACACCTTATCCGGGCGACACCCACGCCCACACCTTATCCGGGCGACACCCACGCCCACACCTTATCCGGGCGACACCCACACCTTATCCAGGCGACACCCACACCCACACCTTATCCAGGCGACACCCACACCCACACCTTATCCAGGCGACACCCACACCTTATCCAGGCGACACCCACACCCACACCTTATCTGGGCGACACCCACGCCCACACCTTATCCGGGTGACACCCACACCTTATCCAGGCGACACCCACAGCCACACCTTATCCAGGTGACACCCACACCTTATCCAGGTGACACCCACACCCACACCTTATCCAGGTGACACCCACACCCACACCTTATCCAGGTGACACCCACACCTTATCCAGGTGACACCCACACCCACACCTTATCCAGGTGACACCCACACCCACACCTTTTCCGGGTGACACCCACACCACACCTTATCCGGGTGACACCCACATCCACACCTTATCCGTGTGACACCCACGTCCACACCTTATCCGGGTGACACCCACGTCCACACCTTATCCGGGTGACACCCACGTCCACACCTTATCCGGGTGACACCCACGTCCACACCTTATCCGGGTGACACCCACCTCCACACCTTATCCGGGTGACACTCACATCCACACCTTATCCACGTGAGTTCTTTGCCAAGTCTTCTGCTTTTCTGTGGGCTAGATTTTCTTGAAGAAGTGATCTTGCTAAAAAAAATATATATTTGAAAAGTAATGAATTTGACTCCTCACAACTAACACACCATAGATTCAGTCCCATTTTCATAAGCAGACGCTAACTGTGCTCTAAATGAAAATATCACTCCCAAAACCTGATCTTCCATTGTATAGACACATACTCTTTCACCGTTAGGAGAATGTGGCAAAAGAATTCAACTGGTATTTTCCCACTATCATTACAATGCATTGAGCTATGTTTTTTAAATAAAATAAATTATTCTAACAGTGGATATGCAAAGTATCAATAATCATAGACAACTTTGTACCAGTAACAGGTTTTAAGTCTATCCCTCTCCTTTGTCCCCTCCTCCCCCTCCTCGCTTTGCCCCCAGGACTGATGTCAACACTTACTCATTTTCCTCAGTGTGTTTTTGATTTTCCTGAATCACTGCAACTCCCTGAGTATTCTTCCAGGTTCCAACTTTCTTATTTTAGCATTTAAAACAATTGTCATTCTTCTTTTTCATTTAAGCCTCATCACTTTGCTCAGACTCACCATAAAATATGCTTTCTTTATTTTTGCTGTAACTCTCCAACCTAGAATAGCTATGGTGGTCACTGTGGCTCACCAAGTATTTATAAATTTTGGCCTTCCTGGCCATGCCATAATTTCACTCTGTGATCTCTTGCGATTGAGAGGTGCCACGTGATTAATCTTACCTAACAAATTTTGAGCAGAAATAATTGCATGTCATTTTGAGCATGAAGCATTTAGTTGCCGGTGTGAAGCTCTCCAGAGGTCTATTTCCTTCTGGCAAAGTGACCTTCAGTGTCTAAGGTGGTAGCTGCGCTGACAGCTTGGGTTCTTGAGAAACTCCAATAAACACAGCCCCCAGCTAGCTTGCCGTGCATTTGCAGTAGCGATGAAACATACAGCTTTGTTCTTTAACCCACTAAGATGTGGGGGTTTGTATGTTAATGCATCAGAACCTGGGCTAACCTAACTGATAAAAGTAATTAACACACTAGGAAACTAAAACAGCCTGAAGTGTATCCAGTTCTTTGAGTTCCGTGGGATGCATTCAGAAAGTAGCCTGTTGGCAAAGTGGCTTTTTGTATCTTCTCTTCCTGTTCCCTGAGTTCATCTGGGATAAAATTTACAGCTTTCTGATCACCTTTCAGTAAAAATGTGAGTCCTACTTTAGTAATTTCTCTTCCTGTTCCCCGAGTTCATCTGGGATAAAACTTACAGCTTTCTGATCACCTTTCAGTAAAAATGTGAGTCCTACTTTAGTAATTTAAATCATTTAAAATATCACTCTCAAAGCCAGCCAAAGCATCTCCTATTTCCTCCTCACTCTCTCATCCCCAGTTCAGCTCTGAATCTGTTGAAGACCCGCGGAAGGGGAGGCCTGCTCCTGGTTTGCTCTGCCATTTCACTCCCACATTTACAGTTTTCTGTTGCTGCTTTTAATTCTACCAAGTCAGGGAGGAGAAGAGGGCGTTCAGCAGAAATTGAGTAAAGGCGTTAACAAGGTGACTCTAGCTCTGCAAGGAGCTCCCCCAGACCTCATGACCTGAAGGCAGGAGTTGTTGTCCAGGTGTCCACGCAGCAAGGGAGGCATCAGGACAGTCACAGTGAGAGTGGTCTCTTCTTTGTCTCGGACCTCGGCTGGGAAGACTCGGTGACTGAGGGTGACTTTGATGCAGAGCTGGGGTCCCTGGAGCCTTCATCACTCCCAGGCTCAGAGTCTCTTCAAGATGGGGATGGTTCCCCATGCTTCCTGCGGCCTCTCCGTGGAGCTGGGCTTCCTTACAGCTGGATCCTGGAGGTCCTCAGACTCCTTCTGCGAATGGGGGATCTGAGCTCCAAGTAAGAGCGGCCTGGCAGAAAGAGTGAATACTGTACTGCCTTCATGACTTAGCCTCCAGGGTCCCATAGCTCACTCCCACTCTTCTCTACCTGTTAAAATAGCTATAGCCCCACCCACAGTCACGGGGACAGGAATGAGAACCACTTCCTACAGCGGGTGACCGGGCTGCGCTGTGGTGAAGTACCTGACAGAGGAAGATCCTGGGCCCTCCTGGAGATCAGAGTCCACCAGACTGGTGCCCCACCCCATCTGAGACCCACGCTCAGGCTCACGTGCTGGGAATGAGGCAGGCTCTTCTCAAGACCCCGGGGACCTCAGCACAGGAGGCCTCATTGAGTGGAAATTGCTTTTAAGAACCCCGTGGGCACCTGCCCCTCAACTACTTACTATGACTTGCTGGGAAGCCACTACCAGCCGCCTTGCTCCCCAGGGAGGGAGAGTGGAGCCGAGGCCGGCCCTGCTGCGGGCTGCAGCACCCACGTTCCCGCAGATTCCTGCATCCTAAAGCACCAGGAGCAGCAGGGGACCCCGCCTATTGTCCCCTGTCCCTGTTGCCCCCACCTCCACTTCCACAAGATCTCCCCCACCTCCTGCCCTACTGCAAGGATGGAAAGTCCGTGGCTCCAGGACTCACACCCCTGAGGGCTTCTACAACTCAGCTGCCTTCAGCTACGGAGGCAGCTCCGGGCTCTCCTTCTACCTGGCTCCTGGAATCTTTGGCTGGGTGACCCCTCACTTGGCTCCGATGCTAGGGGAAGGGAAGAAGCACACTCTGCCTCAGCTGGCAACTCATTACTGGATGAGGAATGCTATGGACTGCAGGTCTGTGTCCCCCCAAATCCATGTGTTGGAACCCCAACCCCTAATGGGATGGCATGAGGAGGTAGGGCCTTTGGGAAGTGACGAGGTCATGGGGTGGCGCCCTGTGATAGGCTCAGTGTCCTTCTAAGCAGGGACACCGGGAGAGAGTACACTTCCTCCCTGCTCCCCTCCAAGTGAGAAGATCAGACACGGAACCACCAGCAGCTTCATCTCGGACGTCCAGGTGAGAAGGTGGAAAACCCAGACGTAGGCCCTAATCAGACATGGAACCCACTGGCACCTTGATCTCGGACGTCCAGCATCCTGAGCTCAGACAGCTACACTTAGATTTGTAACCCCCATCTACGGTATTCTCTTACAGCACTTGAACTGACAAAGACAGCTGCTCCAGCTCCTGGGATCCCGGTCATCATTTGACCTGGGCAGGAGACAGATGAGGGCCAATTCTTAGTGGAAAGCATTTCACTCTCTTTAGACTCCCAGGGTAATGATACAAATTAATGATACATATTGTCTTCAACTTTGGTGACTTAGGCTGAAATTCTGAGAGAACTGAAGTCCCTTCAACACTAGTTACACAGCCGAATATAGGAAAGGACATTGGATTATCAGAAATGAAGAATTTAGAATATACTTTCTGCAAGATGCAGGGCATTCGGCTCTGAAAGGAGGAGAAGATGCCGTCAGATGCGGTGGATCATGTCAGTGCCCTTCACATAGCTTTGATTGTAGCAAAGGATGCAATAAAAATTAATAAAAAATTAATTGCCTGCTATTAAGCTTGAACACCAAACCCAAGTTCACAAGAAGAACCAACAAAAACCTTAAGAGGGAAGGTCTTATTCCTCTCTTTAGTGAAGCTGTTTCCAACAAAGTCACCAAACCGAATGCACTGCGGCATTCTCTTGTAAGGGTGAGAACCCGCGGAAACTCAGGGGCTGTGCCTGCTGCTGCGGCGTTCAGCAGAATTGCAGCGTTTCAGGTTTCCGGTTTTATCAATTTCCCTTCACAGCTTCTCATCCCAGCTCTGGTGTTTGACAGTTTTATTTCCTTAACTCATTAAATATTCAATGATTCATAATAACAATTTTCCATGTAATTTTATTGTTCTCATTCTGGCATCAAATTCTTGTACCAAATACCAAAAGTAGAAAATACCCACTTTAAATAAGGACATTTTAGTTGCCATTTTCCTTGCATTCTATTATCAAAAGGAGCTTGTTGCAAAAGACTTCCAGATATTACTGAACGATGTCTCACTATTGTAACTCGGTGCAAATGAGAATTATGAAACAAAAAAGCCAGGAAGGCAGGAATATTCAACCAGTATCACACTAACTAGAGAGGAAGCTAAGAGAGTGTGAAATCAAAGAATAATCAATTTCCTAAAGGAACCAGGTGCTGCTCATGCCATGGCAGGTTATTTCAAGGGCACAAGAAAGGCAGGGGAGGCTGCAGAAGTTTGATTGAGAGGAATATAGTGGAAGATGAAGAAGCAAGCCTGGGTTTTTCCACTGAAGAAAGCGGCTCCTGCCTGCAATCTACTGTTTACAATACACTTCTAGAGTTTGACAGGATGGTGCTTTCAGGCCAAAAAAAAAAAAAATGCTGGTGTGGGTGCAAAAGTCACTCCTAATGGTGCTTGCAGGAGGCCATGAATTCTAGAATAGCCTCTCAGGAGGCTGAGCCACGGAAGGCAGTGTGTAGACCTGTCTTACCCAAGTATTCAAATCCTTGCTCTGTGGTTTACAAGCTGCCAGCTTTGAAGCTCAGATTTTTCCTGTCTTCATTTCCTTTTAGTGTAGTTCAGTGTCCAGGTTCCAGCATTTCCACAGCACCCTCCGGAGTTCCTGACACTCCTTCTTTCATCCCCCCATGGCGCGAAAGGCGGCTTCAGTGGATCAAGGGTCTTCATGTTTTGACACTATGAGGAGAAGCCCCACACAGGGCAGGCAGGACCCACTGTCAATTCAAGCTCAACAGCCTCCAGTGAAATGTAAGGATGACGCCCCATGCTGGACAGATGCCATGAGTTCCCCACTGCTCTTGGAACATGTGTTCAAATCCCAAGTATACTTCCAGTGGGAGGTACCCCATGCCCTCTCTAGCCCCCTCCACCCCAGTCACGTGGAGGAACATTTCCTCCCATGTCGTTCTCGTTCATCTGTCTTTCAATTTGTTAAAAAGACTTCCACCTTTGTTGCTCATCTTGGCATGAGGAAGAAATTCATGAGACTTTAATAAAAAGTCCAAAGCCAACACAACCATCTAAACATCCGAACAAACCTGTTCTGGTGAGGAAACTGCAGACGTGTGTTTTTCCAGAGGCACAAGAGTTAGGAAATGAAGTAATCAGGGCAGAAACATCCTCCGATATGTAAAAGGAGGCCTGATTAAAATGGATGGCTAAGCCACACCTTAGTATAGTATTACTTATTGACAATATTTGCAGAAGAACAACAGCGCTTTGAAGAGACTAAACTAGTGACTAAGTTGGATTTCTCAGGTGTTTTGAATCCCTCAAATTGCAATTACATGTCAGGTCTTTAAAACAAACAACATACAATCATGGCCGGGCACGTGGCTCACACCTGTCATCCTAGCACTTTGGGAGGCCAAGTCAGGCAGATTGCCTGAGCTCAGAAGTTCGAGACCAGCCTGGGCAACATGGTGAAACCCAGTCTCTACTAAAATAGAAAAACAGAAATTAGCTCCATGTGGCAGCGCAGCTATAAGCCCAGCTACTTGGGAGGCTGAGGCAGGAGAATTACTTGAATCCGGGAGGCGCAGGTTGCAGTGAGCCAAGATCAAGCCGCTGTACTCCAGCCTGGGCACGAGACTCCATCTCTTAAAAGAAAAAAAAAATTGAGTTCTAGCAAATTGTCGATAACGGTGTCTCATTTCTTGTAACTGGCATTTTAAAATCCGTTCCATCAAAGTAAATAAATACAAGCCAAATACTCCTATAAATGTGACAGAGAAAGGCGATATTTTCAGAGGACATCCGTAAGAAGGAAGCCTGGATTCACCAAGATGACATTTGGTTGTTCCCAGCTGACCCCTCCCAGCGGGAGTTTCCTCGCATGACAACCCACCTCTGTGCCCCTCATTCAGCTTCACTTGCTCCGTGGAAACCGTTTGAGCATCGACTTCCTACAGCAGATTTCATGCACCATAGCTGTGCTGGCAAATCCTGCATCCACAGGCAACTTGTGGCCATTTAAATCTGAGTGGAATTAATTAAAATTAAATACAATTAAAAACCCAGGTTTTCAGCCCCACCAGCCACATTTCACGGGTTTGGTCACCACCTGTTGCTGGGGGACGGACAGGTGCAGGCATTTCTCCTACAGAAGTGCTTTTGGACAGTGCCTGTCACGGCTTTTCCTTTCACAATATGCGTGATAAGTTCCTTGACGTAGCAAAGAAAACTGGACTCCCCACAGCATCCACCTATTAGCTCCAAGCAGTATACATTAAAATAACACCTTGTTATTTTTGTATATGCTAGAATTTCAAACACTGGTCCAGCTGTTAACTCAGTAATCGGAACTGTCAGGCCCTCCCAGAACAGATACTCATTTAGTATAGAAGAGAGCCAAACAATAATAGTCATTGTAATAGTAATAGCGGTGATAATTATAGTTAATGTTATGCAAATTACTGGAAAACTGGTGCTATAAAAAGACTCACTTCATAATGCCACAAATATATTTCGACCAAGGGCTTCTACAAAATTGCAGGCCACTTTACTATCTCTTCTGCATCTGTCTCTTCTGTTCTGTTTTCTCTCAGTGGCAGCAACCTCTTATCTTTCATTTCTTTCCTCATTCATACAGGCATCTGTGAAACGGATACGTTTACATTTGATGGTAATAATAGCTAACATTTACTGAGCATACTATATGCTGGCCACTGCTGCAAGGACAGCTCATATTGATCCATAACCATTTAACTCTCCCAACCACTGAGTGAAGGTGATGCAGGTATTAACTCCGATTTGGAAATACCAAACAAGATGCTTAGGATAAGTAACCTGTTTGCAGTCACTCCACCAGAGAGAAACAGAACCGAGACCTGAACTCAATCAGGGTGAGTTACAACAGGCAGCCTTAACTGCTGCCTCTTATTCCAAATACCTAACACAGAGACCACTTCTTTTTTTTTTTTTGAGACAGAGTCTTGCTCTGTCACCCAGGCTGGACTGCAGCGGTGTGATCTCGGCTCACTGCAACCTCCACCTCCCTGGTTCAAGTAATTTCCCTGCCTCCGCCTCCCAAGTAGGCTGGGATTGCAGGTGTATGTCACCACGCCCATCTAATTTTTTTTTTTTTTTTTTTTTTGTATTTTTAATAGAGATGGGGTTTCACCATGTTGGCCAGACTGGTCTCGAATTCCTGACCTCAGGCAATCCACCCACCTCAGCCTCCAAAAGTGCTGGGATTACAGGTGTGAGCCACCATGCCCGGGCCAGCCTGCTCACTTCTTACTGACTCCTCACGTAGGGGAAAGAGGGCAAATTCCTTTCGGGAGTCTCTTTATAAGAGCACTAATCCCATTATGAGGGCTCCACCCTGGCTAACACGGTGAAACACTGTCTCTACTAAAACTACAAATAATTAGCCGGTCGTGGTGGCAGGGGCCTGTAGTCCTAGCTACTCGGGAGGCTGAGGCAGGAGAATTGCGTGAACCCAGGAGGCGGAGCTTGCAGTGAGCCGAGATCGTGCTACTGCACTCCAGCCTGGGGGACAGAGTGAGACTCCGTCTCAAAAAAAAAAAATTCCTCAGGGTGATTCTCATCCAAGGTCCGCAAATTACGAGGCACTAAACCATATTAAACAAAAAAAATAAGTGCTTCACAATAAAATATTAAAACTGTAAAATTAACTTTATAACTAAAATTTAAATAAGGTGAAAGGGATCTCCTTATCAGAAGCAGTTTTTCCCTTTAGTCTAATCGTTCACACTCATTATCACTAATTTCTTAATAAGAAAAATATGCATATGTAATGTTAACTAAGACTTAACCAACACTGAATTTTTCAAAAGTGCCAAGTGACTTTCAGACAAGAATATATCCATCAAAAGAACTTTCCAAAGGAGAAGAGGAAAATTATCCTAACTTTAAAGATGAATTATATCACTTTGTAGATTCCAGTCAAATGAAGCATTGAAATAGGATAGACTGAACATAAAACCAGATGAGGTATTATTTAGAAATGTCCTTCTGAATTATACTTATTCAGTGTGGAAAATGGTATCTGTTTCCTAATAGACTATGTGCTATTGAAGATAAGGAAGATGTTGTTTGAAGTTTATAAGAAATAAATTTTTTCATAATAATGAATGAATTGTGTGTGCCTGACAAAATGGCTTAGTAATCACAGAATGAAGATGAAAGAGAAATTTGATTATCCTGATTAATGATGATACTACAAAGGTGTCTCAAGAGTAGTGCGAGGCATGTGCAGGATTAATAAATACTGCTCGATTATTTGCAAAACTGCTGCTGATTGTGCTGAAGTATTAGCGGATGTGTTGATGTCTTTGCAATTGCAAGGAGGCTGCCATTTTGCTAGACGGGGTAACCAGCTTCTGGGGGAGGGTGGGGGCAGCAGTGGGACCCAGATGGCCACAGCCTCCTGCCCCAGTCTTGTGGAGAATTGCATTGTGAGCACAGACAATCACTCTTTTTTTTTTTTGACATGGAGTCTTGCTCTGTCACCCAGGCTGGAGTGCAGTGGTGTGATATCAGCTCACTGAAACCTCCACCTCTGGGGTTCAAGCCATCCTTCCACCTAAGCCTCTGGAGTAGCTGGGATTACAGGTACACACCACAATGCCCAGCTAATTTTTATATTTTTAGTAGAGACAGAGTTTCACCATGTTGGCCAGGTTGATCTTGAGCTCCTAGTCTCAAGTGAGACCACAGCCCACCTCAGCATCTCAAAGTGCTGGGATTATAGGTATGAGCCACCATGCTCGGCTGGGACAATCTCTTTTATGAGCGAAATTGGTTGGAGATGAAACAGCTTACCACTCTGACTCTGAAGTGAGTGACACCATATTTTAGAAGTTGTGTCCTTCTAAAAAAGCCTTCTATAAAAACAAATTCATGCAAATAAAGCAACGAAGATTTTAAAATATACCTTAGCCAATATGGAGTGAGAATATGAGTATTTTTGCACAAATTAGAAATTGTTGGTGTAAATTAAGCCAAGGGTGAGATAAAGAAGAAACTTTCTGGCTGTGAACAGGAGGAAAGAGTAGGCAGATATCTTTTTTATTATTATTATTTAGCTAGAAAATGAGGTGTTAATGGATGCCATCAAGTTTTTTGAGTTTTTCAATGTGGTGGAGGGTCTCACAAAGCTGCAGCCCTGTGTGCAGCTTCTCTGATATGGAGATTGGCCTGCACTGTGCTCCCCAGGGTGTGCTCTGGGCATAGCCATTCTGGAAGGGAAGAAGCTGGAAGGGAGCAACGTTGCAGGAGAAAAGTTGGCCTCTGATGCCTTCTCCACCAGTGCTTCCGGAGAGCCTGCAAGATGCAGAGGCTGGACGGCCTAGGTTACCCCTGCATCCACAAGCAGTTCATGGAGTCTGTCTAGGAGCAGCTGACTTTCTTCAGCCAAGCAATCCCTGAAGGTGGCTGAAAGCTGAGCTTCTTCTGGCTACAGTCACAGCAGCTTGGCAAATAACTCCTCAGCGTGACAGGGATGGGGCAGGTGACTTGCAGCCTTCTCTACGACCAGCTGCAGTGGCAATGCAGGAATTCTGTTTCCAGCTGCATAGCCAACTCAGTATGGAAACTGACCCTCCAATTGGAAACTAAATGGACAGAATATTAATAAAATACACTTTAATATTATTTTTATTGCACCAATAATTTTTTTAATACCAAGAAGATTCTGCAGAGGTCAACACTGAGTAAGAACAGGAGGAAAAGAGATGAACAAAGCTCTGACTTGTCTTTTACCCTGAAGATATTTTCCAAACACAAGTGAATTTAACCTTTTTCAGAGCTTTGAAGGAAGCTAGAGACAAGAGATTAAGTCTACCAGCCCCTAAAAATGATACATCGGATAGGACACCTTATAATAAACTGGAACCCAGGGAAACACATGTAAGGGTCATGGTGAACTAATACTTACCACTCTCTGGGAAAAGAGGAAAGAAATGTGTGTAAATCAATTTTATCACTGGGTGGAGAGGTTGCTCTCTCATGCCGAGAGCTTGCACGCACAGTGGAGCTGCACATGGGTCTGCCACTTGCCTACTCCATACCTGGGTGGGTAAAATGAAAACTCACCTGGAAATTTAATTCAGAAAACCCAATTGGCAGTATGCACAGTGAAATTGCAGAATCAACTGTGATTTTCCCTACAAGATTCCACATTTAACCTCAATCACTTCTCAGAGAAAAACTTCCATAAACAGTGCAAGTTCATAGTTAATAGTCAAGGTAACCAAACAAAAACAGCATACTAGGAGCAAGAGCCAGAAGGAACAATAAAAAACAGAATCAAAACTGAAAAGCCTCCAAATATTATAACACTGGCAGAATATAAAATGGATGCTAAAATGTTTAACGAAAAGAAAGTCTTAAATATCAGCAAAGGCTATGAGTCCATCAAAAAACATCAGGTAGATTTGAAAAAAGTAAAGTATCAAATAAAATATATATAAATTTTAAAAAATTAATATTAAAATATTATTACATGAATCTAACCACAGATTAGAGGTATTTGAAGAGAGAATATTTAAACTGGAAGCAAATTACAAAAACATCCAAAATTCAACATAGAGGGATGACATTGGGAAAACATTGAGAAATTAATTGCAAAAATTCTCATTTGAAAGAAATTATCATGCATAGAATTGGAGTCATAAAAAGAAAAGAAAGACAAAATAAACAAAACATAAAGCACTAATACCTGTGTGTGTGTTGCAGTGTGTGTGTGTGTGTGTGTGTGTGTGTGTGTGTGTGTAAATTGGTAAAAGAAATTGCTTTTCAAAGTCAGGAATTACAAAAAGACCCCAACTTAAATATACAAAAAAAAAAAAAAAAAATCCACAGCATCATAGAGAAACGAAAGAATACCATAACCAACGCAAAGCAACACGTCATAAAAGCGGCTAGATAGATAGATGACCTACAAATGAAATAAATTTGTGCTGAAGTTGGTTTTTCAATGACAATAATGGAAGTCCTGAACCAGTGAGCGTCTTCAATACATTGGTGGAATAATAAATGTCAGCCTGGGACCGTGTGCCGTGAGAAAATGTGTTTCAGGAGTGAGGGCAAAAATCAAGGCTTCTCAGGAAATCAATGAAACAAACAAAAAAACTGTTTTTGCCGTCACTATCCCCTAATGAAAGGAACTTCTAAACTCCATTTCCGACATAGCAAAAGCGACATCACAGTAGCTGAGTGTGAGGTGCAAGAGGCATGTCTGGCAGAGACCACAGTTTTGGGAACTTAAACAGACATTGCCAATGTGTTCTTCAAGGTCGAGAAGCTCCTTTAGGATGAAAAACACACCCCCTGTGAATTTTTTCCAGGTTGGGAAGATGTCATGGAGTAGAAGCGTTCTTAATTTCCTTGCATCAAATTTCAAACCAAAATATGCAGATGAACACGAATAAAATAAGAACTAAAGCGGCTACTTTCCAAATTAGTATAGGAGAAATAGTTAAGAAGATTTAATAAATAAATCCAAAAGGAGAGCAGAAAGCCACTGGGCCGATGCAGTGGCTCATGCCTGTAATCCCAGCACTTTGGGATACCGAGGCAGGTGGCTCACCTGAGGTCAGGAGTTCGAGACCAGCCTGGGCAACACGGTGAAACCTTGTCTCTACTAAAAATATAAAAATTAGCCAGTTGTGGTGGCGCACACCTGTAATCCCAGCTACTCATGAGGCTGAGGCAGGAGAATTGCTTGAACCGGGGAGGCAGAGGTTGTTGTGAGCTGAGATCATGCCACTGCATTCTGGCCAGGGTGGCAGAGAGAGACTCCATCTCAAAAAAAGAAAAGAAAAGAGTCGTGCGAGATGCTGAACCTGTGATGTAACTAGAAATAAAACAGTGAAGGTGAATCCAGGTCCTTAGGAGTAGAGGGCAGGCCAACGTATGTGTTGTCACCAGAGGTGACTGAAATCCAAGAAGGGAAGGCAGGAGGTCAGGGTCTGGAGTAACACCTCTGCTGAAAGGGCCAAGGGCATTTTGTGGCCTTTTTAATATCTCAAAAAGAGACTTCAAGGCAGAACCTTGGCTAGGGTTAAAAGAGCTCTCACATGGTAAGAGTTTGAGTTCTTCAGAAAACCTAACAGTTATTGACTCCTGGGCTTTTAACACAGCCTTGGAACAGAAATACCTAGAATTGACAAGATAATTATGCTTAACTGTATGAAACTGGAGATATCCAATGCTTTTGACCTCCAGGAACAGTAATTACATATGGCTCAACCTACTGTTAATAAAAATAGACAAGTCTAACATCATGAAATATTTAACACAAATTTTTCTATAAGTAGATCAAGAAGAAAATAAAACAATAGACAGTTGATTGGAAAAAGAGCAAACAAAAACATTCCCAAAGATCCTACACAATGTGATTTCATTACATGATATGAAGAATATGAGTAGCTACACACTGAATTGCTTAGGAAAATAGATGTGCATAGTAAAACTAGAGGAGAAAACCAGAGAACAACCAACACAAGAGTGGGAATTGGGGCTCCCATTCAGGGAAGAGACGGTAGCAGGTGCAGAAGGAAAAGCCTACAAAGGAAATTCCATTTTTCCAGTTCTGTATCCCTTAAGCCACACAGTGGGTACAGAGCCTCTGTGTGTCCTTTATACACTGCCTACATCATGAATATTCATTTGCATCTATTAATAGTTTAAAATAATTTTTAAATAAAATTATATCAGTAAATCATAACAGCTCTACATTTAAGGAAAAATATTTCCTTAAATGTAAATATTCCTTAATAAGGAATGTAAACATTCCTTAAATGTAAATATTCCTTAATAAGGAATGTAAACATTTCTTAAATGTAAATATTCCTTAATAAGGAATGTAAACATTCCTTAAATGTAAATATTCCTTAATAAGGAATGTAAACATTTCTTAAATGTAAATATTCCTTAATAAGGAATGTAAACATTCCTTAAATGTAAATATTCCTTAAATGTAAATATTTCCTTAAAGTTGAAAATGGTGATTTGTCAGCATTTGAAAAAAAGATTAGGAAGTTTCCTGCTGGTAACAGTCTGATGTGTAGCTTTGCCTTAAAAATGGAAATTACAGAGCTATCATCAGGAAAGTTGCAATAAATAGGTTGGGCACGGTGGTTCAGCCTGTAATCCCAGCACTTTGGGAGGCCAAGTGCTAAGATCAGGGCAGATCGCCTGAGGTCACGGGTTCAAAACCAACCTGGCCAACGTGGTGAAACCCTGTCCCCACTAAAAATACAGAAATTAGCCAGGTGTGGTGGCACATGCCTGTAGTCCTGGATAGTCAGGAGGCTGAGGCAGGAGAATCGCTTGAACCTGGGAGGAGGAGGTTGCAGTCACCTGAGATCATGCCACTGCACTCCAGCCCAGGTGACAGAGCAAGACTCCATCTCAAAAAAAAAAAAAAAAAAAAAAAAGACAAGTTGCAATAAATATATGTAGAGAAATGTCTTCTTTAGATGGGTATACACACAGATAGATAGCTAGATAGACAGACAGTTGCATAGATAATTAGGTTCCTGACTATAAAAGCACATTAAGTAGATATTGCAATAAATGAAAAAATGAGTAATACAGATTCCTATATTCCATGGGTTTTTAGATGAATAGAAGACATAAGAACAGAGTTTCTAGACTAATAGAAGACATAACACAAGAATATAAGACAGTATGGTAAATTCTGTAAAAGTGATATAAGCAAGAATTAGAAGGTTCAGAGGTGGCATAGAGTGATTAGAGAAATCAAAGCAGGCTTCGTGGAGGAGGTGGGCTTTGGAATCCGGCGGAAGAGCAGGAGGGTGCATTGATTTGAAGTTCCCTTAATTCTTTGTGGCACTCTTCTCCACTAGCCCGCAGCTCCTGAGAGCAGGAAGGACTGACTCCTGTTTTGTTCCTCTCTCTGACTATAGGCAGCAGTGAGCCCCCCTGCCTCTGATTGTCATCTTTGGGGGCCAGAGAAGTGAGCAGCTATCCTTCCCAGTCCCTGGTCCCTCCAAGCAGTGACAACAAAGAATGGACCAGGCGAGGCATTGTGTGTAGACACGTGAGACTTCTCATCCAGGGTCAAGAGGAGAAGCAGCGGATTAGGAGTGCCATGACTTAAAGTTAACCTCTTTAGAGCAGATGAGCCCTGCTTATTCTAGGGCATTCAGCTATGTCTAATCAATCGCTCCTGTGCTTGGAAGAATGGGAACACGACACAGTTTCCCCTTCTTCCTTGTTTATCTCACTGTAGCGGTGAGATAGACGATGGTCACATTGGTACCATCACGGCGCTGCGGTCATAGCAGTCCCTATTTATCCCACAGGTTCCCCTGAATTCCGAGGCATCCCACATTTCACATGAGCAAATAGCCTTGACACCTGCCGCGTCTCCAGGACAATAGGCATTTCTGACCCACATGATCTGCACAAAGAAGAAAGCCTCTCTCTCTTTCTCACCACTGCATCCCCAACTGATGTGGACCGTGATACATAATTGGAGTTAAATAAATAGTTGAGGTTGTCCTGGGGGTCGTGCCTTTTTAAGGCTATGTGATTATGCCAATTCATAGAAAACATGAGATGATTAAAAAGAGAAATAATTGGCCAGGCGCAGTGGCTCACACCTGTAACCCCAACAGTTTGGGAGGCCGAGGTGGGTGGATCACCTGAGGTCAGGAGTTTGAGACCAGCCTGACCAAGATGGTGAAACCATGTCTCTTCTAAAAATACAAACATTAGGCTGGGCGTGGTGGCTCACACCTGTAATCCCAGCACTTTGAGAGGCCAAGGCGGGCTGATCACAAGGTCAGGAGATCGAGACCATACTGGCTAACACAGTGAAACCATCTCTACTAAAAAAAAATACAAAAAAATTAGCTGGGCATGGTGGCGGGCACCTGTAGTCCCAGCTGCTGGGGAGGCTGAGGCAGGAGAATGGCATGAACCCGGGAGATGGTGCTTGCAGTGAGCCAAGATCATGCCACTGCACTCCAGCCTGGGCGACAGAGCAAGACTCCATCTCAAAAAAAAAAAAAAATACAAAAATTAACCAGGCATGGTGGCAGGCACCTGTAATCCCAGCTACTTGGGAGGCTGAGGCAGAGAATTGCTTGAACCTGGGAGGCGGAGGTTGCAGTGAGCCGAGATTGCGCCACTGCACTCCAGCCTGGGCGACAGAGTGAGACTCTGTCTCAAAAAAAAAAAAAAAAAAAAAAAAAAAAGAAAGAAAAGAAAAGAAAAGAAATAATTGAAAAAATCAAAACAGCAAGAAGGGCTGCCACATAAGAAGAGGCTTAGAAGATTTCCAAGGAAGGTTAAAATCAAAGAATAATAGAGTTTAAATCTGCACAATCATGAAGAAAAACTATAAAAAACTACAAATAAACTATAGATGGTCTCTCATCTTACAGCTACAAAATTATAGAAAACAGAAAGAGAAAAGCTAAAGAAGAAAATGTCACAGCTAAAAATGGAAATATATTTCCAAACATTGTGATTGTTTCATGGGCACTTTAACCACAGTGAATTATTCAGGAGACTGAAATGTTTGTGGTGGACCCCTGGGAAGCTCAGCAAGTATTCCTTAGGTGCCCCCCATGAAGTAAAATACATTTGGAGGCAAATCGAGTTCCCAACATGATAAGAGTTTAAGTAACAGAAGACAGAGTGCCCTTCTCCCAGCAACCAGCTGTGGATTTACTCGCAGAATCTCTAATACTAAAATGACTGAGAGGAGTTGCCAGAGGCACAAAGCCCTGATTTAAAATCAGCAGAACCTTTGGGCTTTCATTACTGCAGTGATCCCAAGGTCAGATTGTCTTTACTTTTGTATTGTCAGTTTTCCAAGGTCAAATACTTCAGCATCTTTTCAACTGTTCCTTGAGCAAATGTAAAAATCAGGGCCGGGCGCGGTGGCTGAGGCCTGTAATCTCAGCACTTTGGGAGGCTGAGGCAGGTGGATCACGAGGTCAGGAGTTTGAGACCAGCCTGGCCAATATGGTGAAACCCCATCTCTACTAAAACAAATGCAAAAATTAGCCGGGCGTGGTGGCATGCACCTATAGTCCCAGCTACTTGGGAGGCTGAGGCAGGAGAACTGCTGGAACCCGGGAGGCGGAGGTTGTAGTGAGCTGAGATAACACCACTGCACTCCAGCCTGGGCAACAGAGTGAAACTCCATCAAAAAAAAAAATCAGGACAATTTTTATAAGGCATTTCTTATAGAGATTTGCAGAAGACAGGGGACACAAAAGAAGCAAGCACCACTGGTCTTCTGGGCACAGAGAGATGTGCCCCATGGCTCCTGATGCTCTCTAGGAGGGCCTTCCAATGAACAGCGGGCCTGGGAGCATTTGAGGGAAACAGCAGAAGCACTGACTCACTCCAAAGATGAAGGGGGTGTCCTTCCTAACCCCGGAGTGGTGCCCCTCCCAACACTGGGTGAAGTGATCAAAACCTCTCCCAACAATTTTGGTCCTCTGACACCAGGTAGGTGATACAAGGGAACCCACTTTTTACAGACACAAAGTAAAAGTGACTGTTGACTAATCATGATTATTAATAAGCATAAGACAGTCCAAGTAAAATTCCGATAGAGACTACATTATCAGGGAAGTGTATATATGATCACAATTTATCTGGGTCTTAGGTTTTTAATATGTACACACACACCCGTGTGCACACACACGTATGTAAGTTGTTAACAAAGTAGGGATTAACAGTAAATAAAACATCGTGATTGTACAGTGAGGCCAAAGAAGTTACACAAAAACTAAGTGGAATGAAACTGAGCTTTATCATTTTAAAATTTGGTGGGTTTTTTTTTTGTTTGTTTTTTGTTTTTTGAGACGGAGTCTCGCTGTGTCCCCCAGGCTGGAGTGCAGTGGTGCGATCTCGGCTTACTGCAAGCTCCGCCTCCCGGGTTTAGCCATTCTCTTGCCTCAGCCTTCCGAGTAGCTGAGACTACAGGCACCCGCTACCACGCCCGGCTAATTTTTTGTATTTTTAGTAGAGACGGGGTTTCACCGTGTTAGCCAGGATGGTCTCGATCTCCTGACCTCATGATCCGCCCGTCTCGGCCTCCCAAAGTGCTGGGATTACAGGCGTGAGGCACCACTCCGGCCTTAAAAATTGTTTTTAATTGCTGAACAAATTTCTAAAAGAAACACGAGTAAAGCTGCCAACTGCAACGACACTTTCTTCGGATTCTATCAGAGGGATTTTCATTTGAGTTTCGCAGCACGTATTTAGAATCGCTGCAGTCTTTTACAACCAGAGAAATGGCATCTTCCAAGCTCACTCTCCACTGAAAAAAGAGTCAAGATTTCCTCTCTGCAAATATCCTAAAAATATCAACCTTGTAGCAGGTAGGCATCAGAATAGCCATTGTAAGGAGAGAGACTAAACCACTAGATCACCTAATAACTGCATTTCCAGGAAAGCTTGAACAAAAGAGAAAACAAGACACAGAGTGACTTATCTACCAATGCCTCATTACACAAAGAGCTTCCAGAAATTCTACCATGGATTATGAATTTATTTTGCCAAATAGGCAGACTTCATTACCTGGCCAGTTCTAACTGTGGTTTTTGGGACCTTCAGGATTTAGCATCACTTAGGAACACGATGCCACGTTTTCCTGAAATAAAGCTTACTGCTAAGTTTAACTACTTTAAACGATATTTAACAGCAATCTCTCAGTCCCTTTGATAGACAATAATTAAGCATTTCCTGTGCTTCAGCAATGTGGTGCCTGCTTTTGTAGTAGATAAATTCACAACCTCCTGCTGTCAGCAGTCAGGATGTGGTATGGGGTGTCTAGTCAGGTACAGAGTATTTCACTTGTCTTAACCCCATGGTGAGGGGATGCAAACTCAGACTTAGTGCTCAAATATTTTCCAAAGCGACAGACACAGTTGGTAGGTTGTGAGAATAACATTTGAACCTAGGTCTTTTTACCCTCTAAGCTTGCATGAATTTCAATTCTAAAATGTATTTTTACATCTTTGCTGTCTAACATAGAAGAATCAGCAGAATTTAACTTTGGATTTTCTTTATTGTGATAACTCTAGAAGTATCATTGTTCTGAGAAGTAAAACTCTGATTTCTTTTTTGTTGTTGTTCAATAACCCATGTCTGGCACGGCTCTTCAACGAGTCCTCTGCAGTGCTCATGGGGCTTTTCTTGACTTAATTATAATGGCAATTACCTTCAGAAAGCAACGTGAAGCTTTCAGTATTCTAGCATTTGATCTTCACAACAAGCAGGTGAGATGGTGATTTTACATAGTACATCTGAGCAAACAGGGTTAGACTGTGCCAGGGGTTTTACACTGGGGAGGACTTTATACGCAGGACTCTCATTACAAACCCAGTGTTCTCTCTGGGACTTTGAGGATTCTGTTACTTAACTGTGGTCTGGAGATGTGGAGAGTTTAGGGGCACTGGTGCTGGTGGGCTGACTTTGATCTACAGCCATAACATTTGGAGAAACATGTATCTTGTACATTTTTCTTTGTTTACATCAATTCTGGTGTATTTGCTTTCATTGTTTTATTTCTGGTTCTTTAAGGGATCATAATTCTTCAGCCTAAAAAACTTTCTTTAATTTACTTGTGGCACAGACATGCTCCAGCGAATTCTGTCAGATTTTCTTCATCTGGAAGCACCTTTATTCCACCATGGGATTTGAAAACATATTCAGAGGTGTTGAATTCCATCTAGAGAATCTCCTTTTCAGTCTTCCAGAGGTGTTACGCCATTTTCTTTTCAGTTGCATAAATTTTAATGAGAAGCAAGCTGTAATTGTTATATATTAAATTCTTATATTTGTAAATCTTATCTCTCAATTCTACATGTGATTTTTTGGCTGCTTCTTAAATTTTATCTGTACTCTCCGTTTTCAACAGTTTGAGTATCATTTCTCTCTCTGTCTCTCTCTGTCTTTCTCTGTGTGTGCATGTGTGTTTGTGTGTTTGTGTGTGTGTGTGTGTTGTATTGTATTGTATTTATTTGGGTTGGACTTTACCTCTTGGTTTTGTGGTTTGATGTCTTCCATTATTTTTGAAAAATTATTGGCTATTAACTCCACAAATATTTCTTATATTTCATTTTATCTCTCTTTTTAGATTCCAAAGGCACTTTAGCTCACTTTATATTTTATCACAGACCTTGGAGGCTTAGTATTTTTACACCATTCTTTAATTATTTTGTTTTAATTGCTCTAATTTTTATTGATCTATTTTCAAGTTCACTGATTTTCTCCTTGCTGTGTCCATTCTACTGATGAGTTCATTGAGGGGATTCTTCATCTGTGAAAGCATATACTCTTCACCTACCTTTCTATTCAACTCATGCTTACATTTCCCTTTATATAGTAACATCCTCCAACTATACATTCATATTATTCACCATTTTCGTTAAAGCCTTTAACATAATCATTTGGTTACTTTTAAAAATTACAATAAAATTGTTGTAGCAGTTGAGTCTGCTCTGAATCTCACCTACTTGATTTTTGCCCCTTTCTGTCCTTGTTAGGTGTATGTTATAATTTTTTATTGCATTCTGGATATCATACTCAGCACACCAAAATCCATAATATTAATAAATAGCATGCACATTTGGGAATGATGATACCCCTTCTACCAGGTCACTGGTGTGGGTTGAAGTCAGCCCAGGTGGTAGTTAAGCCTAGTTCGTATTGTCTGATTTCTATGCTAACTGCCAGAGCACGAAAGACTTCAACTTTCTCTCATAGTGCTATGTACTCAGTATGAAACTGGGGCATGATACAGTCACCTCACCCTGAGAGGTTACTTGGGTGACTTTGCTGTGTTTGTATTTTTTGAATGTTTTGTCCGACCTTTCCTTTAAGCTGTTTCACCACACGGGGCCTCTCCATTGCTGCCCTCCTCCCGCAGTGGAGCACCTCTGCCTAGCAGGTGTGTGCTCGGCCGGAGTCGGGTGTCCAGCGTGCTCTCCAGCTCCCTAGTCTAGCTGTCCCTTTAAGTTGGCTGCGCCTCTGGGTCTCCTCAATGGTACTTTCCCAATGCTCTTGCGGCTTCTCACCGTGGCAGCACCGCGGTTCCTCTATCTGTGGGGCTTTTTTAGGAGAGTGGTTCCTGCTGTTCCCCATGTAGCAGGCGACCTCTGAGGGCACTACTATAGGAAGCTGAGGTTGAGATGACTTCCAGTCCCTTCACCGTGGGTGGAGGGTTTTGACTTTCATTTTTTCCTTAGTAACAATGGTCCACTGTGTTCGGTGAGCTACAGGATTCATAGTCTTTCCCTCAGCAGCCTAAAATCTTTGTTCCAAATGAGAGATGAATCCAGGCCGTGTTCATGCCTTTCCTGCCTTCTCTGCACCTGCACCTCTAGGAGACCCTCTCCAATCCACTGTGCTGCCTCCAGTCACTCTTGTGAGTTCCTGGTGAGGTCCATTTGAGATAATTTACAAATAAATGCAAACTTGCTTTTGTCTGAATTTCCAGGGGTTTTATACTTTACCCCAGCCTAGGCTGGGCTTCTGCTGATTAGTTGTACATTTTATGACTTCTTCCTCCCTGTGTGGTGGCATATCTGTGTCCTGTGGTCCACCATGTGTGGGATCTGTGCACATTCAGTGTCTTGTTTCTTCCTGGAATTCAGGCTGCTTGGTTTCATTGAGAACTTGGCTCTCTGATGGTTGAAAAACGTTATGTTTTTGTAAGTTATTCTACTATTTTCTTGCGGTTAGTGTGGGAACAACACTCATTCCAGCTTACATTCTAAACAGAATCAGAAGCTCACCAGCTCTTCCGATGAGTTGGTTGAAAGAGCTACTCTAGGCAACCATCTCAGTACATGTGCAAACTTGCCAATTATTTTTCTTCAAACATGATCACTATTACTGCATGATTCCAATAAGCTGACATGTTGCATTTCATTATACAGGATCCTCAAAGTACAGTGGTCTAACTATTGATCATGGGGCAAAATTTGGGACCAGCAAAGAGATACAGGTCAGGCGTGGTGGTTCAAGCCTGTAATGCCAGTGCTTTGGAAGGCCAAGGTGGGCAGATCGCTTGACCTCAGGAGTTCCAGACCAGCCTGGCCAACATGGTGAAATCCCATCTCTACTGAAAATACAAAAATTAGCTGGGCATGGTGGTGAGTGCCTGTAATTCCAGCTACTCTGGAGGCTGAGGCAGGAGAATCACTTGAACCTGGAAGGTGGAGGTTACAGTGAGCCGAGACTGTGCTACTGCACTCCAGCCTGGGCATCAGAGCCAGACTCTGTCAAAACACACACACACACACACACACACACACACACACACGCACACACAGAAACACAGATACAATGATTCTTGAAAATATTGGACAGTATATCTATTTTTTTGTTAAATGGATTGCAGTGGTGTTGTGAGGAAAACATTTTTGGGGAGTAACAGCTAAGACTGTACTATCAATATCTGATAAATCTCTGTGTTATTTTTCATTAATATTTTACATGGCATGCTGAAAAATACCCATCCAATGAAATCTCCTTACAGATTTCTGCTCAGTTGTCTCTGGGGTCCTTTAAATTGTCCCAGAAATCCAAAAAATCACGGCTACTTCAATGGAAAACACAAGTCCTAGTTCTGGTGACAAAATATCTTCCTGACTTAAAAATGTACGTATTTCACTCTAGCATTTTATTACTTGACAAATTTGGGTTCAGATGATGGTATTGACTTGTCTAAACTTTCCCAGCCACACCAATTCTCACTTATTCAGTAAGGAAACCAACTATTTCCACTTTTATTTTTTTATTTTTATTTTTTTTTTGAGACGGAGTCTCCCTCTTTCACCCACGCTGGACTGCAGTGGCGCGATCTCGGCTCACTGCAAGCTCCGCCTCCCAGGTTCACGCCATTCTCCTGCCTCAGCGTCCGGAGTAGCTGGGACTACAGGTGCCCGCCACCACGCCGGGCTAATTTTTTGTATTTTTAGTAGAGACGGGGTTTCACCGTGTTAGACAGCATGGTCTCGATCTCCTGACCTCGTGATCCGCCCGCCTCGACCTCCGAAAGTGCTGGGATTACAGGCGTGAGCCACCGCGCCCGGCCTCCACTTTTCATCTTCCAGGTATGCCTTAAGGATGATGCACAGGAAAGCTAATGTGCGCCACCCCCACCTCATTTCAGGCCCTAATTACCAATTCCTAGATTGCCATAGAGCTCACTGGCCAGAAAGGGGAGGAGGCAGAGAGAGAAAAAGACAGAGAGAGAGAGAGAGTGTGTGAGTGAGAGCGAGGAGAGAGCCTCAATCCTCTATTTCAAACCTTTCAGGGGCTTCCCCTGGCCCACATAAGAAAACCTATTCAAATGTATTCTTATTGGAATGGTGTGCACAGTCGCTGTGATCTGACTTCTGCCACATATTCTATTTTATTATTCTAATGTCAGAACTAACTTATATAGATAGGTTGCCTTGGCTTTGCTTTATGAATGAATAATCTTGGGAAAATGTTTATAATGCCTTTTTGATAACTCTTCAATAGAATACAGCAAACCCCACTTATTTTTCTTCTGTGCCTTCATATTTTAATTCAGTTTGATATGCCAGACTTGTTTTTCCTTTTCAGACCCGCAAAACCTATTGTCCTTTGCATTTCCTCTATTTAAATTTTATAGAAAACATAATCTTCTTGATACCATCATTTTGGAGATGAGAAATGGCAACTACTTCAAAATGAATCTTCAACAGCAGTTGGAGGAGATTTAAAGACAATGCATGCATGAAGATGGGCGTGAGATGCCAGTAACTCCATGAATTAGAGTTTCACATAAGCCAAACCCTCACAGAATGTCTGCAAAAAAACCCAAGGAAGACGGGGATAGTTTGACCTCAGCTGTCCACTGCTAGTGGAGAGTATTTAAGATAATCATTTTAGTAACTTTAGGATACAATTATTTTTAGGATCTTCCTGTGCTATTGGCAGTGGGCTGTTTCTCAGTTTGCTGTTGATTTTTGGTCAATAGCTGTTACATGTTACATGATCAGATGTTATAATCAATTAGTTTTATATTTTTTCTTTTAATTGTTTTCCATATTGAAACCCACGTGTCATAATCTAATAATGCTGGAGCTGCAGAGTGTCTCTGAGTTTGATTTTTGCAAAGACATTGATGCATTTCAAGAAACTAAAGATAATAATGGCATGGATAATAATTATACATTACATTAAAAAGAATTAACAGGCGTGGGGTGGTGACTCACGCTTGTAATCCCAGTACTTTGGGAGGCTGAGGCAGGTGGACCACCTGAGGTCAGAAGTTTAAGACTAGCCTGGCCAACATGGTGAAAACCTGTCTCTACTAAATTACAAAAATAAGCCGGGCATATTGGCTCATGCCTGTAGTCCCAGCTACTTGGGAGGCTGAGAAACAAGAATCATGTGAACCTGGGAGGCAGAGGCTGCAGTGAGCCGAGATCACACCACTGCACTCCAGCCTGGGTGACAGAGAGAGACTCTGTCTCAAAATAAATAAATAAATAAATAAATAAATAAATAAATAAAAATAAAAGGAATTAACAAAGAATTTCTTGATGGTAAAATCACCCGTGTGTTTATATCAGTGGCCTTTATGGCTCTGTGTGTCTGTATGGTGTGGAGAGTGTATCCTGAGCTATGTTCCTCTTATTTTACCTATAAGCACATGATCTGCTTTATTATTATATTTAAATATCCTTATTGAATTATAGTATGATGTGCATTCACATACATTTTATGTATTTCAATAAAGACAAAGCGGAGGTTCAACTTATCCCTTTGTATGTAACTAACTGTCATTGTCTGTTTGCCTCATGGATCTTAAAAGCCTTCAAGGTGAAGACCAAGCTAAAATTATTGATGTATCCCCAATACTCATAATAACATCCTGTCCAAAGTGATAGCTTAATAACAGTTTGAAGAGTAAATTAATAACTTCAAGATTATTTTATGTATTTGAAGCTTAGGCAAAGGAGAGTCAATGATGCATTATCAGAAGACCATAAAGGATATCAATCTTGCAGACCTGGGAAACCAAGATAAATAAAATGTATGCTTTTCTATCATTCATAGGGGTGCCCTGTGTGGGATGTTTTGGCCGTTTTTAAACCTGACAAAATCTGGCAAAGTTTGCCTTCTCTTGAGGTATTCCTGGCCCTCCACCCTCCTGGCTTCCTGTAGATTGCACCCACCCTTGTCCCAGAAGAATGAATTACTCACTTCCAGAGAAAAGATAATCAAAGTGTGGTATAGAATGACGCTGGATGAGAATGTTTGTTTCTCCATAATTCTGTAACGTCTTCGAGAGTTTGGAATTTTAATACCCCACCCTAGTTCACTTCCTAGCACATAGTTGGTATTCAAATAATTTCTTAAAGCATAGTGTTCAATAAATCTTTAGATAAAAAAATTGTGAAAAGTAAAAAGTATATTTTAATAGGAGTAAAACTAGACATTATGATAGAATCTGAATAAAAAGGGAAGCATGACCTTTAGCCTGGGGAAGAATATCCTATAAGAATTCCATAGAATATCTCTTAGTAAATGTAGTAAAAACACCCATTGATCAAAAGAAATTGGATCTATGGCTCATAATAACATCTCATTGATTGAAAAGCACTTTGTAATAGCTTTCTTCCATGTGATATCTGTCAGGCATTAACCTTTCAGCCTCCTGATCATGTGAAAGGAATTCTTTGCTTATGCCACTGCTCATATGACCCCATCCATGACATTTCATAAATTGCATCTATTGAACAGAGATTTTGGGTTTTCTGGAACTGAAAAATCCATTGCCAAAGCAAGGCATTTCTCTATGGATTGTATGATAGAATTTAGCCATATGCTCTAGAGACCTGGAGCTATTTTAGCAAACTTGACTACCTCTGAAAAATGACTACTTACAAAGAGATAAGTAAGTTTCAAATTTTAGAACATGTAGGGTTCACATAGAAATACATTTAGAAGCAATCATATATTTATTTACTCTTTTAAGGACACATTTAAAAACATAAAGTGTTCCTCTTATTTAAAGCAATGAGTTAAAATTATACCAAATTCTGTACATAAAAAAGTGAATATGCTAATAAAATAGTCCACCAAGTTTTATTATTAACACTAGGAAATCAATCTGCATGTCCTAACAAATAAATAACAAAATAGATGAGCATTTTAACAAAATATAATCTCTTGTAATTCCAGCTTCAAGCTTGTGTTGCTTTCTTAAGCAGAAATAATAAAGAGAAAGTAAAATAAATAAAAAGAGTATTGGCATATTTTAACAAAATACCTACATAATTTTATTATTCATATAAAAAATTAAATCTGTGAAATACAGGGTCAAGAAAACAAAATTGCATACACTTTTATGCCCTTCTCAAACGCATAAATCATCTTTCATGTTGATTGTCTGTATTTTTCATGTAATTACTTTAACCCCGAAGAAGTAAAATTAGTGATTAGCATTTCAATTCAGGTTTGAATTTGAATCTGAAACTAACTGAAATAAATTTTATTGAAAATTCTCCAAAGGAATCTAGAAGCACTCAGGTTCAATCACACTCCACTCTTGTCAGTATTTTTGCATTAATATAACCACTATCTTTTCAAAATAAGTTTTAATGAATTCAGTTTGCAAGTGATTGCTGATCTTAATGGAAAAATAATTTCAAAGAAAATCCTTAGCTATTCAAATGTCACTCATAAATATAGCACAAAGAATTACAATGGAAGAGATAAGCAGAAAGTTGTGGTCATAAAGTTTATCTGCAAATTTGATAAGAATGAATCCATTAGGGCGGCAGGGGATTTTGATTATGGACTTGCCCTCTGTGTGGAAAATGCTAAGGTTGAAGACGACTTTCCTGGCTCTTCTGTGACTTACAGCCGTCTCTATTCCTGTCATGCCCAAACACAGGGAGAGTCTGCGGAATAGCAAATAAGTTGTTGCAAATGAAATCATCAGGAAAATTATTTTGACTGCACAATTAAAAAAAGCACCTGACATACATTTTTACTAACTTAATACTTGATCAGAGTTTTATGTTAAATGAAAATGTAAAAATCTTGAATTCAATCAGTGGAACAAGGTTTCCCATTTGATCTGAAATAAACCAAACACTATAATTCACAACCAGTAGGCAGGAGGAAATTAAATATCCAGTGATAACTCAGATTTCTGTCTAAAGTGCCTCTCGATGCGTAAGAAGCAAGACTGAATAAAATTAGAAGTAATTTGATCGACTAGCCCCCTGTCCTTTGATCAGATGGCTCAGAATTGTGCTGAAACTTTCTGAAGTGACCAGACAGAATGAGATCGGAGGAGCAATGTCTGCTGTGTGGTAATGAATGGCTCACAAACCCAGAGGAAGACAGAGAGACAGAGACAGAAACAGAGAAAGGGAAAGAAAGACAGAGACAGAGAAAGAGAGAGAAAGAAAGAGAGGCAGAGAGAGAGAAAAACAGGGAGAGAGAAAGAGAGAAATGAAGAGACAGGGAGAGAGAGAAAGAGAGAGGAAGAGAGAGAGAGGAACAAAGATAAAGAGGGGGCAGAGAGTGGGGCAGAGAGAAAGTCAGAGAGAGAAACAGAGAGAGTGAGAGACAGTGTTGGGGAGTTCCTTAAGAGACCGAATATCAATACACTGGTGGATTAGCACAGTACTCATTGGTTCAAGTAAACCAATACATAAATTTCAGGGCACTCACAAAGTCATGGCATTTCCTCTTTAGTTTACTCATTGATTCAACATCACCCGTGCACACCTGCTCTGGGCCCAGCACTGCTCCTAGTGTTGGAGTTATACCGTGGACAAAAAAAAGACTCTTGCCCTCCAGGAGCTGCTGTCACCATCCTTACCAAAGGAAAGCTTAGACATCTTCCCCTGGGAAATTTCTTCCTGGAAATGTTCAGAGCTAGTGTTTAGCACAGCTTCACACACACTGTGGCCTATTGGAGAGTGCAAGGTGGAAGGAGGGAGAAGTTTAGGAAAAATAACTTCTTAGGCTTAATACCTGGGTGATGAAATAATCTGTACTACGAACCCCCATGACCCATGTTTACCTATGTAATAAATCTGCACATGTACCTCTGAACTTAAAAGTTTTTTAAGAGATTATTTGATAGCCTAATGTATACCAGATCAAATGTTTCCAAAAACTGCCAAGAACCTCTAAATAATAGTTTGCTTTCAAATGCACCTTCTATTTTTTTGTTTTAATTCTTTGTTTGTCTTACTTAAATTCATTCAGTTACTATAACTATCTTTACATATATTTAAAGGAGCAGCATTTTGCATGACTTTACTTGTATCTTTTAACACATTTTTTATCATTCCCTTTTCTTCCTGCTGCTATTAAACTTCTTAACAACACTTCCACTGAAAATCTTTGATCACTGCAAATATGAAGTCTACTCCATACCCATCATTCATTCCATCAATGCTTAACAATAATAAGAATGACAACAAGGATAGCTCATACTTATTTATTTCTTACTATATGTCAATCACCGTTTAAGGGCTTTACATATACAAACACAATTAATTCTCAAACTAGTACCAGGAAGTGAATGTAATTAATGCCTTTATTTTACAGTTGAGTAAATTAAAGCACAAAGATTTAATCGCTCACTAAAGACATACAACTAGTATGGTAGACTAGATAATTTAGAAGATATTCCCACCATAACACTAATTGATTATCAATAAAACATACTTTATCAATATATTGGTAAACTCACAAGAAATGTAATCTCTGAAAATTTCTACCTACAAAAATGAATAAAGAAGCTAATGATCAAAACAAGAGTGGAGGCCACAAAATAGCAACCAAACCCAACAGGTGGCACTGCACTGAAGGCCAATGCCAACGTAATCAACATGATCAATAGACTAGGTCTTTGAGCATGCATGGAAGAGCTGAGTCTGACATTCCCACATTATGTCTAGGAAACTGGAGGTGAAATCTTTTAGCTGAAGTACCTTCCAGAAAGCAGGGGTAAAACAAAGGTTTTCATTCAAATGGTATAATTTAAGAAAAAATTCCAGAAACAGGAAATATTAGGTAAATAATGTTATTGAAATGGCCACCACGATCAGGAACTGAATGCTAATCATCTAGGGCCCATTAAGGTGCTGATAAATGGTGGATCAAAATCTTCTGCCCAAAGGATGGAAGAGAAATGAATTCATCCGGTGGATCCTAGCTCCCAAGGGTCAAGGTTTGATCATGAGATGTTACATCCCACACCCTTTCAAGTTGAACATGGATGAGCCCCAAACCTTAGTGTCGAAGACACCTTGGGCACAGAATCCAAGAGTGCAGTCAGGAAGCCGGGATGAGGTGTTGCTAGGTGACAAAGGCAAAAAGCAGGTTGCCATAGCAATTCCCCTGGTGAGAGAATGGAGAGGGTGCTGGGACGGGCACATGTAGGCATTCAGCACATGGACGGCCATGGTCTCAATTCATGACCACCCTTGGCTTCCCACATTAGGAATCGCACATTATCTCTGAAGGAGACTCTTCAATTTAGATGTGCTGGATTAGCACAGATGGAAAAGAAACAAATAAGAGCTGGAGAGTCAACAAGCACACGCACACAAAGCCATCATCAGTGAGATACAGCCATTAAAATAAGCCATAGATTAAGACATCTCTCTGCATAGAACTTCAGAATGTTAAATTCTCAATTACAAAAAATAAATTGGGACCCAAATCCAGCCTCATCTTTGATTTTTTTTATTGATCTTATATAGTAGTGCATCCAATCTCTTTCAGCAAAAGCTGTGGTCTTTACCTTGGAAACATATCCAGAATTTGACCACTCCTTGACAAACACCAGCGATTCTCCTGCCTCAGCCTCTTGAGTAGCTGGGATTACAGGTGCTTACCACCATGCTTGGCTAATTTTTTTGTATTTTTTTTCAGTAGAGATGGGGTTTCGCCATATTGGCCAGGCTGGTCTCAAACTCCTGACCTCAGGTGATCCGCCTGCCTCGGCCTCCCAAAGTGCTGGGATTACAGGTGTGAGCCACCATATCTGGCCACTTCTCTGTCTTTTTATTGTTGGTATAGACTCAAAAGAATGTAAGTTCTTTAAGAGCATAGGCTTTTGACTGTTTAGTGTAATGCATTTACTAAGTGGTAGACACTTAGTATAGTGAGGGGACGTAGCAAGTAGTCAATAACATTTGTTAATTAAAGAATAAATGAACTACTATTTATTAACAAATAAATGCCATCAAAAATGAAAAGACAAATGACAGACTGAAAGATGACATGCAAAAGAGTTCACTGACAAATGGACAAAAAATGATGACCAAATTTTTACAGGAAACGAAGAAGCCCAGCTATCTATTATCCTGTTAAAGGCACCATGTAGGCAGCAATGGGGTGTGTGCAAAGGGAGATCAGATAGAAATTGCATTCCACACTCACTGGATTGGCGGTGTTGAAGAATTCGGATCATATACCATGATCATGGACAGCAGGATGCCTGCTGAGCTGGGAAGAAATGTATGTCCACTTTTCTGGCACTGATTCAGATGCTGCTGTCTATGTGGATTTGCCCAGATTTCTGTTCTCACAGTTTCTGCCTGGGCTCCTTGCCAATCCTTGCCAATGCATCCCTGTCTGGGGCTCCCTGCATTGTACCTGGGCCACCTGTGAACACCTGGACAGGCCCACAGTGGTTCCCACTCATATATGAAGAGTGGATGGTGAGGCAGTGGCTCGTATGGAGAGGGAAGTGAGCCCAGTGGGAATGATTTGGCCTGATGGCTCATTCCCATGACCTAGGTCTGAATAGTCAGGAATGTGTGCTCTTCCTGAGAGGACCTTAGAGACCATTAGTGGAGTCCAATGCCATTGAGGCTGGATGCACTGACCGCCTCCCACGGCATGCTGCCCTCAAGCTGATCAGCCCTGTGGAGCCACTTGTCATTTCAGAAGGGCCTCCATGCCAGGCTTCATTGAAGCCATTTCATCCAGAGAAATGGGGCAGCAACAGGATTTGCTTATTTGAATGCTATGGTCGTGCTGGGCTGAGAGAGAAACGAGGAGAAGCCAGATGGATAGGGATTGAGCTAATTACATATGAGAAGTTTTATTAATATTTTGCATATCTCTATGACAATTATAGATAAGTAACAGCCCCCTCATTTTGCTCTGAAGGGAATGTTCTGTGTATATGATGCTGACATCGTCTGTCTTTGCTCAAGAATAATTTTCTAGATCTTCCTGTGAACTAGGAGTTCTTAAACTTTACGGATATCAAAGAGAATTAACTCTCACATTCAAAAATCAGCTAAAAGCATGAAATGTATTTTAAGTTTTTTAAAAGTTATGTCTGGTTAAACGGAGACTAGTACTTCTCCAGTCTTCTTAAAATTATTTTTCCTAGAATCTGCACATAGAATTTTAAGTTCTCATAGCTACAAAACCTACAAGTCATTGGGTATAATTAGTAATGCAGTCATTGAAGGCATGATAATTAATGCTACAAATAGTATTATTTGTAACTAAATAATAGGAAGATCAAATTAGACATAGTGTATTTCCATTACGATTTTAAAAACATAAAAGAATATCAGACATGCTTGCTAAACAAAATAATCTTCACCACAGAATCTCTATGACATTCAGAGAAGCTCCAAAACGGAAAGTCATTTGAATAAAGACATAGGTATAAAAGAAATTTAAGTTATAATCAATTTTTTAAATTATTAAATGATATACATAAAATCATATGCTTCTCTTGACCTAAATAAATGTTTCAACCTAAGGATAAAGAAAATTAACAGGGCTCAGTATTGCCGCCTCTGGTGTGAATGCTGCCATCTTTTGATTTTGTCATGAATGTGTTGCTGTTATAGCAATCTTGCTTTCATAGCCCTGGGCACATTTAATTAAACACGTGCTAGCCATTTAATACACAAGAGACCAGAGAAGTGCCAAGAAATCCTTTATCAATATGCTTGTATTAAAAAAATGTCAGTAAAGAAAATTGCATAACAATTTATGGTGACTTTATTATTGAACTTTATTTGTACATTACTTTATTATGTATTTGTTAGCAGATGCCACCAAATAATAGAAAACGCTACTAAATAATGTGACATGATTTTTATTAGATCAAGGGACAACAACCTGCATGACATAAAGATGTGGTAATCATAGGAAAGATGACATACTCTAACTTACTCTAAAGCTATTCTGTGGCCTTGAATTATTAGAGTCATAAACTGATACAATTATCCAGAAAAGCCTTAGAGACATCAAAATACTCCCCATTTAAGCAGCAATATGTTGAAGAATAAATTTCCATTTTTAGTAGTTCAGTTCTATTCTCTATAACCCCTAAAGGGCAATGCTGTTCGATATATCTTTGTAATGACAAAATTGTGGCTGTTTAGTGTGTTTATTTAACCAGCTAATGTTTATTGGCAGGCCTGCCTCTTAAGTACACTAATACTGTGTTGGATGTAATGTCTTTTATTATTTTTTCTTATAGGAATTTTGTTTGAAGCTTGAGGAAAATAATATTCTATAGAAGTTTTTGCCTTTCTTCCCTCACAAATGTATAGATTAATAGAAATGGATAATTATGATGTTGCAAATAAAATGAAAAACTTAGAGAAGTATTTCATGATTTCATAAGTACCAGTAACACTGCACAAAATATCATCCTCAAAGAAAGAAATTATATATGTTTATTAATTCACTGAGGTAAAAGTCATGTTTGGTGACTTCTTATTAAATTTACACTAACATATTGCAAAAGAAAAGCTAACTTTTGATGTAAATTAAAGGCCAATCAGAGCTTTTTTAATGCCATGTATCAACATAATGCTAATTTCAAATATCAAATTTCTTAAGTAATGATTAATTCATCTTAAAATCTTGGCTAAATGAGTTAGGCATCATTTCTTACCTGTGATTTTATTAAGTATTTTTTAGGAGATTAGGGTGTAAGAGGCTAAACATGTCGTTGAGAGTGAACAAGTCTGCCTTAGCCTCCCAAGTTCTTTCTCTGGAGTCTGGTATCTTCTCATATGCGTGTATGATTGGCACTCAGCTCAAAGTGGGTCCCCTTTAGATGTAAGTCATTCTCTCTCTGCAGAACTCTCCTCCTCAGTACATTGCCCTGCAAACTCTGGGTTCTGTGGCTTCTCTGGATTCCCAGGTCATTTCTCTCCTGGCTGGGAGATGTTGTGCTCTTCCTGGGCCAGCTAGTTTATTTCTAGTATCTCAAGAATTACTGTCCTTCCTTGCCAGACACCAATGTCTTGAATTTCATTGTTTTATTTATTTGGTTGGTTGAGTTTCTACTTGTTTCTGCACTATATTCTGTTTTAATTATCTCTTTTTCTGTTATTTACCAATGCCACACTGTCTTGATTATCAGAGCCTTTTAGTAAGCCTTGAAGTCAGATAGTGTTAGCTTTCAACTTTGTTCTCTTTCAGTGATGTCCTGGCTATTCTGGGTCTTTTACCACTCTCTCTGTAATATTTAGAATGAGTTTGGTAATATCTACAAAATAACTTGCTGAGATTTTGTTTGGGATTGTGATGAATCTATATATTAAGTTGGGAAAAACTGACATCTTGACAACATTGAGTCATCCTATCCATGAACATGGAATATCGTTCCATTTATTTAGTTCTTCTTTAATATATTTCATCTGAGTTTTGTAGTTTTCCTAACATAGATCTTGTACATATTTTGATAGATTTATACATAAATATTTCATTTTGGAGGGGTGTTAATTAAGTATTAGTGCTTTTTTTATTTCAAATTTCACTTGTTCATTGCTGATAAAAAGGATTGACTTGTACTTTAACCTTGTATCCTGCAACCTTGTTATAATTGCTTATTTAGTTTCAGAAGATTTTTGTCAATTCTTTCGGATTTTCTACTTAGTCATTTCATCTGTGAGCAAAGACAATTTTATTTCTTTCTTTTCAACAGGTTGAACTTATTTTTCACTATATGAAGCTATATATAAAATAAGAGAAAATTCAGAACTCTTCAATAAATAGCAATAATTTAAAATTATGCTGAAGTTAGAGATGATTAGTTGCCCAATAATGTTTAATTTGAAAAAAATCATGAAATTATATATTCATCCATCTGCCAAATGTTTTGTTAGAGTGATAGCAATGAATGTGTATTATGAGAAATTTTGAGAGTTCTTGTTTTAATATTTGAATGTTGATTCACTAAAAACACATGAGCATATTAATGTAAACTGTTTAATTTTTTCTCTTCAAATAAAATGTCAATTATTTTTTTCCCTGAATATTTTAACCCTTTCCAGAGTTTAAGCCTTACTAGTCACTGATTTTTATGAAATAATATCCTTACTTAAACAAAATTAAGTTATATAGGAAATTGACCATTTTTCAATCAAATTAGCCCAGGCTCATAATTTAACAAAAAGGTGCACTTTGCATTCTGTTTATTGGTTATGTATACAGGGAAGTGAAAGAACATGGCCAGAAATCATTAACAGTGGGGTGTGTGTGCACACGTGTGGGGGTCTGTGCTAAGGTTTGAGTGAGAATAATAACATGAGTATTTAGCCTCTAATATTAGTTAAAAAAAAAAAAAACAGGGATACTTTTCAGTAGTTTTTTAAAAAACAAATATGCCACACAGACTTTATACCCTAAGATGAAAGTAAACTCAACTTTCATCAAGACTTTTTGGCAAAAAAATGTTATAGAAGTTGATGGATATTATCATATGAAACAGCAGCAACTGCTTTCAGTGAAATAAGATGTCTGAACTAAGCCTCTTTCCTTCTCTCTTATTCTGTTTCTTCCTTTGGCCCTATTTTTTATTTCTGTGTGTATTTAGTTAACAAAAAAATGCCAAGGTAATTAAGGTAAACAGTCCTAACTTTTTAAAAGGCAATCAACGACATAGAAAAAAACATTTAGCATATGTGCTTTAGTATTTTAGTCACATATTATCTGTGTAAATTATAAATATGAGTATATTTCAGTTCTCCGGAAACTTTATTAACTTGAAGCTGTAACTCCATTAACTGTATTCCTTTTTTATTTCCAAAAATAGAAATATGTCCCAAAAGACAGGAATGCCAACAAAATAATAAAATAACCTCTAATATCAATGTCTGTGAAATAAAATTAGAATCAAAAGAGATTTTTCCTTTAAGTACATTTATAAAAATGTACTGGTCTGGGAGTGGTGGCTCACGTCCATAATCCCAGCACTTTGGGTGGGCAAGGCAGGAGGATCACCTGAGGTCAGGAGTTTGAGATCAGCCTGGTCAACATGGTGAAACCCCGTTTCTACTAAAAATATAAAAATTAGCTGGATGTGGTGGTGTGCACCTGTAGTCTCAGCTTCTTAGGAGGCTGAGGTGGGAGAATTGCTTGAACCCGGCAGGTGGAGGTTACAGTGAACCAAAAGCATGCCACTGCACTCCAGCCTGGGCGACAGAGCAAGACTCCATCTCAAAAAAAAAAAAAAAAGTACTAACTTTGACTAATTATTTATCATAAATATTAATGCCAATTTTTAGAAACAACATTTCTTGTATTATTCTGTCTCTGAGCTTTGGTAGGAGTAGGCACGTTTAAGGAAAATACTGCTGATGTTATGCCACTGAAAATAAGCACATAGGCATACAGCAGCTCTCTCAATCCCGAATGAGATGCATTTGCCCCTCAAGTCAGTTATTTCTCTATTCAGTATCAAATTCATCATACAAGGCATATTATTTAAAGGTAACACCAAAACTTTTATGAGCTTGTTAATATAATAATAACATAACTGCATTTTGTCGCAATCCACAAACCTAAAATCAGGGATTTAGCGTAGCAGCAGAGTTGCTCACTGATGCCTGCCTTATCTTTCTTCTGGCACAGTTATTTTGAGCTTATCCTAAGCTTCATGTGAGTTCCCTGGATATCCACACAAATAATCATCACGCAGGCAAAACAGGAGTAATACGAATAAACAATAAAAATATTTTTAAAGCTATTAAAAGTTGTTCCTAGGTAGAAAGTATGTTTAGGCAACCACCAATAATTCATTCTGTACTAGGCTCTAATAAAATCAATCCAAATGTTCACAAACTGAAAAATCAATTTTTGCTGATCATATTTTAATAAATCTGGAAATTAATTGCAGCTCTTTAATAAGAGAGTTTTCTACAAATACAAGCAAGTTTTTAAAAAGATCCAAAATAATTGTTTGGTCAAAGAAATCAGAAAAATAATATCAAAGTATTTGAAAAACAATGAAAAAAATCTCTATATATCAATATATACCCAACATAGTTATGGCAGGCATGTTATGGCTACCTAAAATATGTTTATCGAAAGAATTCTTAAAACCTACTCCTAGGTTAGGAAACGTGGCAAACGGAAATCCGGGTTGCAGATGAAACTGTTTGTTAAGCCTCTGACAGTAAGAAGGGGAAATAGTTCTGTATCATCCAGGTGGGCCTAATGTCAGGAACAGGGTCCTTAAAGTGGAAGAGAAAACCAAAAGACAGAACCAGAGAGATGGGATCTTGAGAAGGACTTGAACAGACATGGCTGGCTTTGAAGATTGGAAAAGAGGCTGCAAGTCCACGAATACAGGTGACTTCTATCAGATTGGTACAAAAGCGATTGCACTTCTTGCCATTTTAATGCATCAAGAAGCTCAATTACTTTTGCACCAACCTAACAGAAGCTGGAAAATGCATGTCAACAGATTCTTGCCTATCACCTGCAGGAGGAACACAGCCTTGCTGATACTCTGATTTCATCCCAGTGATACCTATTTAGGACTTCTGAGCTCTAAAACGGTAAGACAATAAAGTTTATGCTGTTTTAAGATGTAAGGTTACGCTAATTTGTTACACAGCAATAGGAAACTCATTGAAATATGTTCTAGCTTCAAATATTTTTATGCAATAAAAACAATCTAAGCCTTCACCTCATATTTCTTAAGTTCAAAAATATGTTAAATAAAAACCAAAGCACCCAGTGGCAACAATACCCCAGTAGCAGCAAACACACTTAACACCCATCTTGGTTTCTAAGACCATTCTCCAACAAAATGAACCAGCACACTTTCAAGAAATGGTAGATTCTAGGACTGAAGCAGAAAAAATATAAGATAATTCCAGAGCATCTTGTAGTGCCAGAAAATAAGGAAGTTCTCAAAACAAAGAACAGCAACAGAAAAACAAGTGAAGCAAAACACAATATTTATAGTCTGTACTGTTGATATGAGTTAAAAAAATGGTATTTTAACCCTCTAGTTTTTCTCTCCAACCCCAATCTAGTATAAGAAAAACAGCAGACGAACACCAGGTGAGGGAGAGTGTATTAAACACCTGGACGGTACTCCGCAAATATGACACAGTCACCAAAGACAAGTTTGAGAATCTGTCTCAGACAAGGTGAGCCTAAGACAGCATCACAGTTATAGACAGGATCCTGGAGTAGAAAAAGGCCCTTAGGTGTGCAACAAAGTAATCTCAATGCAGTATGCACTTTAGTTAACAATAACATGTCAGTATTGATTTATTATTTATATCAAAAGTACCATACTGATGTAAAGAATTATCGTACTAATGCAAGAAAAGAGAACGTGGGGTATATAGGAATCTACTGGGTTTTTTTTTCTTAAAAATTGTTCTAAAATTAAAAAGTTTATGTAAAAGTTGCATAAGAAAAAAGGAAAATAAAATTTTAAAAACAAATAATTAATATATTAGAAAATGTAAAGTTAAAGTTGTAAGAAAATAACAGAAAAGTCTGGTTCTTTATAAAATATAATCACATAGAAAAATCTTGAATATACTCATTCATGTGAAAATGAAATCATTAAGTAGGAAGAAGATAGAAGAAATTCAAAAAATGCTTAAGAGGCTTAGCAAACAATTTAGCAAAAAATAAAAATTTAATATAATTTTGCACATGCATTTTTAGTTTATATGAGGTATAAGATGTTGTGGTGGACCCAAGGGTACTGAATCGTTATTCTTACAGTTGACAAATAGAGAGAAAAGCTAGTAGGTATCCGGCCTTCTCTGAGCTATTACTTTAGTGCATTCAAATAGTTGATGGGAAAGAAATCCTTCATTATAGACAAATTCCAATTAATTATAGAAGGACCAACAGTATTAGAACATCACAATTTTACAATCCCCGATGAAATCTTTTTTAAAAGAAACTATCAAAAACAGCTGCTAAAACCATTAATCAAAACTTTGTGAACCTGTGGACCTTATTTGAGCATCACCATTAATCAAAACTTTGATGTGAAACTTTCCACTAGGAATATGAGGCTGAGCACACTGATTTAACTTTGGTATCAGTAAAGTGGGACAATCAGAAACCATGGCAAATAATGTGATGAAAGGGAAAGCTCATAGCCTTGCCTATGAATCCTTTTGTGTTCAAACAATTAATCCCGAATCTAAGTAAAACATTTGCTCTTAATACTATAATATAGAAAAGTGCTGGAAAACCCTTGGCCAAATCATAAATGTGCAGGTGGACAAACGTCCTAGTGCCCCACGCTTAGATGAACATGGTATTGTAATAAACCACTTTGACCAATACATGAGTGGTATAGCAAAAAAGATAGGAAAAGGAAGGCCCAGGAGTTGGGCATTGTTGCTATAGCTGCCACTTAGGAAAGAAGAAATCGGGTAATGAACTATCAGCCAACTCCTCATTGATTTTTAGCATTTTCAGACTTCCTTTCTTCAACCATGAACCTTAATACCAACACCATAAATAGCAGATTAATAGGTCATTTTGTATCAGGATATCAATTATAAAAATCCTGTAGTTGGCTGGGGACGGTTGCTCACGCCTGTAATCCCAGCACTTTGGGAGGCCAAGTTGGGCAGATCACTTGAGGTCAGGAGTTCAAGACCAGCCTGGCCAACATGGTGAAACCCCATCTCTACTAAAAATATAAAAAATTAGCTGGTGTTGTGGTACACACACACCTGTAGTCCCAGCTACTCAAGAGGTTGAGGGTGGAGAATCACTTGAACCTGGGAGACAGAGGTTGCAGTGAGCCAAGATCGCATCACTGCACTCCAACCTGGATGACAGACACTCCATCTCAAAAGCAAAAACAAATCCTGTAATTGTATCATTTTAAAAATTAGTTTTCTTGATTCTTGCCGGGGCCAGAGTGTTATCCTTTTTTATGTTTCCCATGTGAAATAGGATTTATCTGACGTACTCACATCTGAGTTTCTCAATGAAGGGTTGTAACTTCAGAAACATTAATAAAATACAACAATTCCCTTAGCGTAAGGTGTGAAACTTTAATTAAAAGATGCTTACTTAATTTACAATTGGAAAAAGTGAGTTTGCTACCACTTGGTGTTGAAAACTTACACAAGGGGAGGTTCCTGGGTCCTCCACCTTTCATTGGTGTCAAAGGCTCGTATTATGATTAGGGCTATGCAGGCTACATGGAGCTCATCTGCAGACAGTATCAGGACAGGAAGATCATTCTACCCTCCTCTCTAAGATTTACAGTTACATGAGCAGAAGGAAATGATATGGATTCTGAATTTCTACTAAATAAATAAAATACTTCACTGGCTTGTTCTGTAATACAGCTGGTCAGACAACATTTAATTGCCTTTAATTCATGCTTATCTTAATTAATGTTGCCTGTCAGCAAGTGGCACTTATAGGTAAGAAATTCTTCCCTAGCCTAAAAAACAAAAGTGAATCTCACTGACTGGCTGGTTCATCGAGAAGCATAAATTCTACTTCAGAATGGGGTTTCTAAAAGATTAGAATCCAAATAATGGGAGATTCACTAGAAGAAATGGTCAGTTGGCTGGACTTTCCTTGAATGACTAGTCTTATCTAAATCAGGCTGCAGTATTATTGAGTTAACATTTTGCAGAATTAACTCAAATAGAAAATTTGGTTTATCAATCAAGTGGAAAATGCGGGGCTAAGAAGTCATTAGTCTTTTGCTCTTTTTCATTTTTCTTTTTTTCCTATCTTGGAATGAATAAATGAACTATGAAAAATTTTAGAAAAATCGACTATGATACTTTTTTCTTCTTCTCTTTTCATCCTTGAATCTTGACAAAGCAGATCTCATATGCATTCCTAAAAGGGAACTTGTAGCACTTCTCCTGAGAATATGATGCTCTAAAATATCAAAAGAGAATAAAGCAATTTAATGTGCTTCATAAATTCCTACCCATGCACATCTTCCTGCTTAATCGTTTGTTAAATCTTCTTACCTAATCACACAGAGAAAGTCAGGTTTGACTTCCTGAATGCTTATAACACCTGTCTAGACTTGTCTGTTTTTTAACTTATCTGCATAAAGCACTATGCATGCTTCTTATATACTAGTATGTTCTCATTTCTAAGTCCTTAACTAAACAATGCTAATAACATTTTACATCAGGACCACTGGTTGTTATAAATATATTTACTCTTTATTGTGCTACTGTTTTTAGCTCCACATTTGCCTTGATGATGCTTCACTGCAAACCATCCCAAGATTCAGTGGTCTTAAACAATAAGCCTTTACTTAGTGCATGAGTTGGAGGGTCAGTGACTGGCAAGGTTGAGTGGTCCTCCTGGTCTGGGCTGGGCTCACTTACATGTCTAGGTTGGGCTGGCTTTTGACCTAGACTGACCTTAAAGATGGGCAGCCAAGTCCTTTTCCATTCTTCTCATCTCTTCTGCTCCAGAAGGCCTTCTCAGGCTACTGGGAAATGGCAGAGGAGACTGATCTACCCAAGTGATCTGCCCAACTTGGCCTCCCAAAGTGCTGGGATTGCAGGTGTGGGCAACCGTCGCCAGCCAATTACAGATCCTAAGGCAAATGCACAGCCTCCAGAGGCCCAGATCTGGAATGGGGACATCTCCACTCTGCTGGGTGGTCTCGGCCAAAGCAAGCCATTTTACGGGGCCAAATTCTAGAACAAAGAGGAGACTGTGACGGTTTAATTTGAGGGACCACAAGGTCACGTGGCCAACAACATAGCTAGGGAAGCTTGAGAAATAGCAACATTGAAGCAACTAGTCTATTCCAGCTACCAATGAAGGATCTTAATTCAACCCCAAGGGCCCCAAAATTATAAAAAGGCCAACATCATTTTGTAGGAATAAAACCCCACGGTAAAGAATATAACTGATAAAATATTAACCTGAAAACCAGAGTCTTAATATATGTATTAAAAATCATCTTCAATCCTTTATTTACACTGGAATGCATCATCACAGTTGATGCATGCAACACATTCACCGTTTGCCAGCTCTGTCCCAACAGGTTTCCAAACATTAACTCATTTAATCTTCGTAACACGACCGCTATTAGATCTACACTACGCCAGGCACGTGCGGCTTCCCCATCCACCTTCCTGCCCATGAAGGCAAGCTGCGTTACACATGAAAAATAAAGAGCTATGTCAAAATAGATCAGGACTAATTTCCATTCACCTAAAGTTTGTCTACTGAATGTGTTTCTTTTTCTGTCCAAAGAAATCAGTTCATTTACATTTTCTGTAAACTTAGTAAACAATCAGGTTTTCATCTTTTTTTTTCAATTAGGCTATAACTAGATAGGTAGAAAATAAAAAATATACACTTTTTAACTGTGAAGTTAAAATAAATTGTAGAATGGGCTGCAAGAAGCACAAAGGCATTTCATTTCATTTTTCAAGTACCATTTGCAGATGTGTTTCACATATTTAATATCTTCCTCCAATGAAGAAGAAACAATAAACAGGAAGGCTCAAAATGGGCTTAAAAAAATCCTTTAAAATCACCAGGTATTATCAGAGCCAGTATTGTAATCATCATGATACGGCGTCAAATGTAGCCTTATCGAAATTGAAAAAAAAAATGGCAACAACAAAGCCCAAAATCTTCATGATGTTCTGTAGCTTGTTCTATATTATGAATGTACTAATCTCATGCCACCTTTCTAAAAATGTTTCTACCTATTGAAAAAGCTATGCCAAGAATAGTATCAGGTTATTTTTCTGGTTCCTTTTTGTAGGCACTATTCCTTTTCATAAGTAAATTATGAAACTCGGCACTGCCAACTGTGTTACTAAATTATATGATTGTGATCTCCATCAAAGAACGGACTACACTTGTAGCAGAATGGTTGATTGTAGGAAACACTTTTAACTTCCCACATAATTCCATGATCTGATTTCCCCATAGAAGTTTTAACCATAGCATATATGTACATTCAGACTTCTTATGGCAAATGAGTTGTCAGATTGCATATTTGTATATTTTAAGGAATATTTGTCAGAATTTAGGCAAATAATCTATCTCTTCTAAATATTAACTTTAATGTACAACTTAAAATTCTTAGATTACTCTTTAATCATGCATAGAACATTTTTTAGTGTATCTTTTGTTTATATTCCTAACCATACCCTTTAGGATCTTTAGAAACTAAACATTTTCCCAAATATTTTATAATGAATATGTATAGTTTTCATAATCAGAAAATAGACTAAGTGTACCATTTTAACTATGAAATCTGGGAATTGAATCGTGTTTAACCCTCACAATTTATTTCCTTTTTTTAAAATGTTATGCTTAAAGGAAATGTAGGGCCCCACCTTTGGGTCTACATGGGCCACAGTGCGAGCAGAATGCTCTTCCCATTCCGATATCACAGGAGTGGACGACGACACTGAAGACCTCATTCCTTACCCTAACGTGGAACCACAATGCCAGATAACCCCACATTTCCTCTGAGGATGTGGATTCTGTTTTCCAGTTCTTTGAAACTGGCTCACCCTGTCTGTCGTTGGATGATGAATGTGATATAAATAGCAGTGAGCCGGTCCAAGCCTTGGCTGGGGGCCTTGGTGTTTCACTTGCTCTCTCTCGCACCCTGTCCTGCCATCACTACGGGAAAATGCCCAGCCTTGGAGAATGACAGGTGCGAGCATCCACATGGTCTCCTAGGGAATGCCCTCCTCAATGGGCCAACAGCCAGCTGACACTCTGGCCGGTGAGGGAACTCCACACATTCAGCAGGGCTCCCCCAGCCGCTGTCCCCAGACGCAAGCACAATTCATGCTTGATGTTGTTTAGCACTGAAGATTCCTGGCTGTTTGTTACACAGCCTCATGAAGGAAAAGATTATTGATATATCAGGGTAATGTTAGTGAGTCTGAATTTGGAAACATAGGATAAATGAGTCTTTGCATAAATGAAAGCTTTCAACAGGCTTCAAAGGCCAAGTCTCAAAGCTTATAACCTAATCAGAGTTAATTGTTTTAGTCATTTTTATGAATAGAAATCATATGGGTGTTTTAAATGTATATGCACCTAACATTTTCCAATTATTAAGAATCACCTTTCATAAATATTTTCTTTCCTTTTTGACAAGACCATTCACAGCGTATGTCGAGACATAAATGGCCATATTTTGCCTGTGTTTTTTTTTTGTTAGCCTTACAGAAAAGAAATGCCTAGAACTGAGAGTTTATCAATCAGTTCCAATGTCTTTGAAAAGGACAACCATTTAGTATGTATGAGGCATATAGAGACTTTCACTGTAGTGGCAACTGTATTGGCAACTAAAGAGACTCTCATTTGGAATCCCAGCTTCTTAGTTATCACACAACGCAATAAAATTATCTCAGCTGTATTTGCCTCACTTGTAAAATGAGAGCAACAAAATCACACATAGAAGAAGTGTCATGCACCACGTTATTCCACTCAGTTGTGCACTTACATCTATTTACTTTACACGCAAGGGTTCTGTAAACTTTCAAGCACTACGTTAATGTAAGTTATGATCATTGTACCGCCTTGTCAAACATTTCAAGCAACTTTTGCCTCTCCTATGAATTTTCTTTTCATTATGATTTGAGCTCTATTTATTTGGTTTAATGTATTTAATTATATGATAGCGGTCACTGGCTCCTTTTCCTTTCCTCAGATCTTGACACTGCTGACCAGGGACAAAATGTCCCATTGACAGTCATGCTCTGGAGCAGGATGGGCAGTGAGAGACCAGAGACCACAGGATGGGTAAGAAATAGCCCAGCTCAGGCTACTGGGTTGAAGAACTGCCAGAGCGTGATCGCCAACGTGCAGATTTCTGATCTACGTGTAATGTAGAAGCTGACTGTTCTGTATCTGACGTTTCATTTAGAGTCTATGAAGTAGCTTAGGCCAATTACTCATAGCCGCCTGCCCCTCCTCAGTTACCTGGACATATGTCTTGTGTTCTGGAATCAAAACTAATTCTGAATGCATATCCTGAAAACATGGGACACTTACTCAGATTTCACTCTTGGGTGTCATTGGCCTTTTAATTATTTTCTATCAATAGACCGACCTTAGATTTACTTGTCAAAAAAAGTAAGGTCATTTTATGAGCACTTTCATTCCAATTTCCTAGATGTCTTTTCTGATTAGAAAAACCTATAAACTATGTAGCTTTGAATTTATAGAATCATTATTCCTGAAGGTTTTGCTGTCCTTTGCGCTCAGAGATGGTCCCACTGACTCAGAGATGGTCCCACTGACCCAGCATGGCAGAGCCTGTGATTGCAGCTCCAGGGGCCCTCAATTCATTTGTTTCCCTGCCTCTCCATCTCCCCATGTTATCCTGTCACCCCAAAAAGCACCTGCCTGCAACACGGTCAACAGAGTCCATCCATAGAGTCCCGCTGGTTCAGCTGGTTGTTTCCAGCTTTTTGACCGTGACCCACCAAGAGAAGCTCATCTTAACTAGCAATGCAAATGACACACTTATACATGTGCACACACACAGAGCACTTCAAAAAGCAACACTTTATTAACTATGCTACTTCTAAAGCATTTTAATCCCAGCTCTTAACTTTTGCAGAAAGTGTTTATAAGCATTCAATTGATTACTATTCACAGTTAGAAAAAAATATATTGGTCACGTATGTGGTAATAAAACTGCAAAGTGTACCGAGCATCGGTTCTTCACACAGTAATTCTTCACAACAACCGTCAAAAAGCGTCAGAGGCATACTAAAGTGAATGGTGGTCTGAGCTCACAGCCTGTGGGTGGCTGAGTGGGCCAGTGAGGGGCTGGTCTGGCTGGAGACCGACGCCCCTGCAGTGAGTTGCGGGTTGTTCTGTGCACCCATCTGCACCTTTGCATGTCAGGGGCTGCCTGGGAGCCAGTCTAGAAGGGCCAGAGCTGGGAGAGTGGAGAAATTGACTCTGTCATCCACCTTGATAACCCAAATATATTCTTGGAATCACGGGAAAGGTCAACAGAGACAGGAGGATTTCTCCAGTGCGTTTCAAGGCCTCCACTTCCTTTATCTCTCCTGACAGCTCCTTGGATACAATGTCACAAATCTTGGCCTGAGCAAGAATGTGCAAGTGGGAGCGAGGGTGAGAAATTGGGGTCGTTCGCATCATCTATCACAGAGTTTCATAAGGAAAACAGCTGTGACTTCCAGTGCAGTGTGCCATCCTAAGCCAAACAAGCTACAAGCAGACCCTGGGTGGTCTCAATGCTCTGGAAGGAAGCGCTCCAGTGGCAGTGTCTCTGTGGAATCTGTCATGGAAGTCAACCTTCTAAGCTGCTCAACGTCTTGAATAAATGGGGAGAGGAAGAGGAGATTCTAAATGCCTTAACTGTGGAAGAAAATACCATGTATATTAACCGTGATGTGGCTTAAAAATAAAGGCATTATTTTAATTTACACACTGGATAGGGAAGACACTTCCAAACTCCAATAGCCCTAGTACAGCGAAAGAAGTGGATGGAGAATTCAATTTCACACCATTGAGCTAAAAGGTATCTTTCTTCCCCAGCAACCGCTAGCAATCGCAAATATCTATTTCTCTGGTGTATTATAAAAAATAGCTACAAACAGGTCTCAGCATCCCTGGCCAGGTCAGAATATTTTTGATTCAAACTTAGCAATGAAGAATTATTCTCCCAATATACACATTATTTTTATATTGATTTTACCAATTATTAACACATGCAGTTGATGTGGCACAATTCTATTCAAATTTCTTTTCCAGAAAAACTTTTGTTATCTAAAATTTATATGGTGGGATCTTATGTTTGTAGTCTTTTCATATCATGGGCTATTTCCATTACTTGCAGTTTTCATAAAATGAGAATATCATTTTTTTAATGCATGCTACCTAATGCTAAATGAGGAGTTAATGGGTGCAGCACACCATCATAGTACATGTATACATATGTAACAAACCTGCACATTGTGCGCATGTACCCTAAAACTTAAAGTATAATAATAATAATAATAAAAAGTGGAAAACAAAATATTAAAATGTTTGGTGCTGTATGAATTCAAACAATGTCTTTTTCATGCAACTTGCTTTTAAAAAATAAGCAGAGATGTGGCTATGGCTGTCAGTTATTGAATAATAGAGCATGCATTTAGCTATCAGAGTTCTGTATTTTTTGAGATCACCAAGCTGTTTTGAAGCGTTTGAAGATGAGCATTGATTAATCCTCTCACGCAGCCTAAGGTACCTACTGGCCATTGGAAAAGTGCCAGGAAATGGGTTTGAATATACAGAGGCTCTCGATATTTACTTGAAGAGCTCCAACATAAAACAACCGATTAATGTTTAGAGTGACCTTTAGGAAACAGCACGGAGCACTGGAAAATCCCTTTGAAAATGAGACACATTTGGCCGGGCGCAATGGCTCATGCCTTTAATCCCAGCACTTTGGGAGGCCGAGGTGGGTGGATCATGAGGTCAGGAGATCGAGACCATCCTGGCTAACACAGTGAAACCCCATCTCTACTAAAAATACAAAAAAAAAAAAAAAATTACCTCGGCGTGGTGGTGGGCACCTGTAGTCCCAGCTACTCGGGAGGCTGAGGCAGGAGAATGGTGTGAACCCAGGAGACTGAGCAGGAGACTGAGTTTGCAATAAGCCGAGATCGCGTGCCAGCAGTAAGCCGAGATAGCGCAGCGCTGCACTCCTGCCTGGGCGACAGAGTGAGACTCAGTCTAAAAAAAAAAAAAAAAAAAAAGAGAGACACATTTGGCTATAATCCCCAACATTACCGAGTAACGGTTTGAACTTTGGGAAATTTACTTCCATCCTGATTCCTGATTCCTAATCCATAAGGAATGATGAAACTACTTAGAGGGCGGGCATGTTATTTATGCAAATTGTGTACTCTAGAAAATAAACTCAATCAATAGAACATTTTAAATGAATTTTCTGGAATTAGAGGTAGTCTGGGCAGTGACTCTAGTTTATTCTGTCTGATGGCATTATATGTTCAGTGATTTTTGACTCCAGAACTTGGCGTCACAAAGAAATTGCCAACTATAAGGCCGGACTGTGTTGCCAGTGCTAGAAAATTTGATCTAGAAAAAAAAAAAAAAAAAAACAAATGAAAGCAAGGGGATACATTCATAAAAGTAATCTTATGCCCTGCCCTCTTCAGCAGGATGGGATGGTCAGCCTCTCTGCTAAGGCTGGAATCCTTTACGAGGCTTTGTCTGTGGTAATTAAAAATGATTGACTTTCTTAACGATGACTTTATATTCCTAATTTTATTTTTGTGAAAACAACTTACAAAATTAAGTCACAAAAAGTTTTTTTTTGTTGTTCATTCTAGTGGAAAAGCCAGGAAATTTGTGAGCCGACCAAACCGGATTTGAATTCTCTTTCTGAAAATAAGTAATTATGTGAGTCACTCATTCTCTGAGCTTGAGTTTCTGCATCCGTAAACTAAGGATGATATGTGAGTTTTGCTTGTTTCCCTAAGACAAGTTATGCAAACTGATAAGAGCAGAGTAGACCCTTAGTTAATGTGTTTCCTTTTTTAGTAGTTCTTAATTCTTCAATTTCCATAAGAATTTAGATTAAAAGATGTAGTTTTGCTCAGATGATGCCAAAATCATATGTGCATCTTTTTAAAACTGATTATCAAATATAATTATGTAGTCAGTGAATTAAGCAAGAATAAAAACGACAGTGAAACAAATACAGTTTCCTTCATGTAAAAATGTGTGTAGAGTTTCTTTCATGTAAAATGTTAATTTTCCTGGAATGCCAGTTTGCGAAACTCCTTATTCAGATGTCTTTTAGAAAAATGCAATACCCCAAGAGACCGCCATTTTCTTTAGTAAGTTCCCATTTTTCTGCTGCTGTTTGTGATTCCTGGGCCGCTAAGTTAGTGTTTTATAAGCCTTTGCCTTGGCTCTTCCTTGTTTCAATCCTCTAAACCTGTCAAAAATAACTTAACCCTGCTTTATTGTTCCCATAAATTCATATGTAACTAGTAGCTAAATCCAATTTGTATCAATCTGCCTTTCTTTGTAGCGTATTCTAAATCTCCCAGCATGTTTCCCAAAAGTAGAATCCTATTAACACCAAATAACCAGCTCTGTATTTTATTCAATAGTTATTATAGACCTTCCAGTGTCACAGTGCAGAAAGGAGCCTGATCTCACCACTGATATATTACAGCAAGAATTCCCAAACTCATTACTCTGAGTGTGTGAGAGCATGCGCTGTGGAGGTCCAGAGTGTTTTATAGATGTTTATATACATACTGCCTTTGCTTCAAATTTAGATTATTCCCAACACCACTTAAAATCATTTGACAAGGAACTTCCAGATATTATGGAGTATAAAATGGCTCCACATTATAAAAATAAATAATTTAAAATTTGTAATTGAATATATATATACACATATATATACATATGTATACACATATATACATATATACACATATATACATATATACATATATACACATATATACATATATACACATATATATACAGATATATATACATATATATATATATATATTTTTTTTTTTTTGACGGAGTCTCATTCTCACCCAGGCAGGAGTGCAGTGGCATAATCTCGGCTCACTGCAAGCTCCACCTCCCAGGTTCAAGCCATTCTCCTGCCTCAGCCTCCCGAGTAGCTGGGACTACAGGCACCCACCACCACGCCTGGCTAATTTTTTGTATTTTTAGTAGAGACAGGGTTTCACTGTGTTAACCAGGATGGTCTCGATCTCCTGACCTTGTGATCCACCCACCTTGGCCTCCCAAAGTGCTGGGATTACAGGCGTGAGCCACCATGCCAGGCCTTGTAATTGAACATTAAGTGTCACAAAATAATATGAAAGTTGAAAAAAATATTTTAATTGAGGTATATGATTTGACTTATTTGACTGATGTGACCTCAAGGGAATACCATATTTGACATACAGTATAGATGAAAGTAGTTGCATGTGACCATCCAATTTACATTAAAGGGACATCAAATGCATAATCTAACAGTCTGAGTTCTGCTTTGCATATTATCTAATGAGCTTGACAATGTTTATTCAATAAGGGAGTTTCAGGTTGGATTAGCCAATACTCTTAACTATAGAATGCTTAAAAACAAAACTGTTATTACTTTTGAAAGTATTACAATTTAGACTCTTGAATTTATTACAACTTAAACTCTCATGTTTATTGCAACATAAAATGTATGTTTTAATAGTATTATTATAAATATATTTTGCATTATGTTTTGGCAGATATATTGTCATATTTAATTAGCATAAGAATTGTGCCATGAAGACATTATTCTTATAAATTTAGGACCTTCAGAAAGCTGTGTTTCCTATTAAACTATTTAATCTTTTTATCATGTTGTTTAATTTTAAAATATCAAATTAAATTTAGTTATCAAATACTAAGTTTTACAGGTAGTCAGTAGGAAGACCAAATTCTGCCCATCTTCTGTCTGACTTATAAAATCAAAATTCCCAAAATATGAATTAATCATTATTTAATCACAAAACTATAAATTCAGAAAAATAGATATTTTACGCTATTAATATTTTGGATGAAATTAAATTACCATGATTATATTAAAAATGTTCCAATACTGATATATAAGAAGATCAATTTGTCAAAATTGTGAGTTAGCATGAAGTGTATTGTCCCAGGTATAGCTTGCCTTGATACAACTGGAAACAGTAGGAGGAATGTGGTTTCAACAAACTGTGTTTGCGTCCATTGCTGCATCACACATCACCACACACTTACCACTTAAAGCAGCAGCCACTTACTAAGCCTCAGAGTTCAGATACCCAGGGGCTCAACTGGGTTCCCTGCTCAGGATCTGACAAGGCAAAATCAGCCTGGTCAGCTGATCTAGCCTCACATGTGAGGGTTTTGACATTCTCAACATTTGTAACATTTCATTACGTGTGACAGATAGAGTCTTGAGTCAATTTGATTTCCACTTATGTCTGTATTTGAAGACATATCCTTACCAATTTTATCAATTTTCTTGCCATCTCATGATGGTTTCCAAATAAAATATTCATATCCTAAAGGGAATAGTGATAATATAGTTTTGCTTTAGAACAGCACCTACAGTGTACATTCCTGAACTGGTAAGTGTTTCATATATGGAGAACAAACTTTGATAAGAACTATAGTGGACTTTTCATCAGATATCATGCAAACAAAAATACAGTGATGTGAGATGTTTAAATAGTTAAGTATTGAAAGAAAATAAAACCTTCAAACTAGAATTTTATGTCCATTGAAATTACCCTTGAAAAATAAAACATGATTTTTTTTCGCAGAAAAACAAAACCTGAAGGAATCTATCACCAATAACCTCACTTAAATTAACTTTATCTAATTGACATTTATAGAATATTTCATCCACCAAAACATAATACACATCCTTCCAAGCTCACATGGAACATATACCAAGATAGATAGACCACGTTATGAGTCACAGCACTCAACTAAACAAATTTAAAATAATATAAAGCTTACAAAGTATATGCTCAAATCATAATAAAATTAACCTAGAGATCAGTAACAGAAATATAGACATAAAATATTTAAATATTAGGAAACTAAACAACACGCTACTAAGTAATACTTGGGTCATGAAAAATCTCAAGGTAAATTCTAGAAATATCCAGTCTACATAAAAATGAAATTACTACATATCGAAATTAGTGGAATACAGTTAAAGCACTGCTTAGAGGAAAATTTATGAAATTAAATGCACACATTTGAAGAGAAGAAAGGCCTAAAATCAAGAAACTAAACATCCACTCTATGGAACTAGAGAAAGAAGAGAACTGCAACTCTGAATTAAGCAGAAGAAAACAAATATACAAATTAGAGCAGAAATAAGACGGAAAAAAAGTATAATATTGAAAATCAATGAAAACAAAAGCTGATTCTTTGAAAAGATCAACAAAATTAATAAATCTCCAACCAGAATAATCAACAATAACAGAAAAAAAATCTCAGCTTCTCTGGATGTTGGAGTCTCCCCATGCCCAGCTGCTATGTGCTTATAATAAATAGTAGGTGTGCTAATGATTTTGGAAGGAACCCTTAGAACTGTGTATCAGCAGCCTCCCTGCCTTCCTAGAAAATGTGCAGGGATCGTAAGTCATTTTTTTCTTGGCTTGCCAGGTCACTGTGATGAACCGTAGGTTGTGTAGGGGGCATTTTGAAAGCGAGGAAGGAAAGGATGGTGGGCTTCTATAGTTTTATCCATTTGGGAGCACTGTGAGCCACACACCCTGTCTTCCCTGGCATTCCTGAGTCCCAGGCGCTCTGTGTCTCTGCAAGTAAACAATTTCTCTTTTTGCATCTTCTCCTCCTCCACATACTTGCAACCGGTGATGCTCAAATAAGGTCCACAGGTTCACAAACCGTGAGTTATTGCTCTAGGATGGGATGAGACCGGATATTCAGGGAAACAACTGAGAATTTTCTATAGCAATTTCACAGAGTAATTTTATGTCTATTGGATGTAATAGTAAAAATGCTGTTCCTGAGTTTTTATGTCATTTTATTTTTCCACTATTTCCATTTTATTATATTGTACAAAAGTATTGATCTGCAAGAGACTGTAAAGCAAAAATGAAATAAAACATACATTGAAACAAAACAAAAGTACTCTTTCTCCATGAATACTTTGAGAGGCGTGGCTTCAGTCTAGAATCCTTTACCAACATCTTCATCTACAGAAATTGGTTTACATCCTACATATGTTTGATGCTTACCTTCTTTTCCTTGTGTTAGGTTTATGTTTAAACATAGTTCAATCTGCCTTCCTGAACCAGCAATTCAATTATTATCTGTGTGTGTGTGTGTGTGTGGTGGTGGTGGTGGTTAGAATTTTAGAAACATTTCTTTTTATTCAGTGTGTCTAACAACAGTAGCATTTGTATAAATTTGTCATTAGAAAGAGCTTGGATTCCAGAAAACTGCAGCAAAGCATTCGGTATAAAGAAACAGTAAATAGGATTGCAGTGATGAGCTGCCAATTCTCTCTATGTTCTAGGACATAAGTCTGAGTGTCTGGAATCTGCAACAATGTTAAAGCCTGGCTCTTCACTGTGGTGCAGTAGCTGATACATCTTTTAATACTTCAGTTTTCCAGCTCCTGAATTTCTAGCTCCATTTCCCTTTCCCCATCACTTGTTAATGTAAGCATATCAAAACTCCCATCTTCTTGCTGAAAACTTCCATAATCATACTTGCACCAAAGATTCCAACAAATACAGGTGTATATCATTAGTTATTTTATGTAAGTATATTCTAGCTAGAATTTAAATATTTCAGGAGAGAGATGCTTGTGTATGTTTTTTTTTTCATATCTTGAATGGAGTGAATGTCTGAACATATTCACTCATTGAGCCAGAATAACAAGATTGAACATTCATTTAGCAGTGCAGTGACCTCAGTTCCATGAATTCTATCACTATAAATTGATGAGATCATTCTACTTCACAAAACTTTTTTTCTCATCCACAAAATGGAGGTATTGAAATATTAACTGGTACTACTAAAATTAAAATTCTCTTTTGCAACAAATTAAAAAATATTACACTAATCATATACTTTGTTTGTGGGAGTGGGAGAGGTAGTCTTGGTTCTTATTTTACTAATAATATATTTCACCTTATCAATGAATCAGTGAGCTGTAACTGCTAAGGTGCAAACCAGGCCACATGCTTCCGTGTGACCTTGGACAAACTTTATCTTTGCTTGCAAAGCAGAACTGCGGCCATGGTCAGGCTTTTGAAAGAAGGACAGCAGGAGGCAGAAGACATCGGAACTCGGCGTTCCTATTTCCATATCAATACCGAGGCTCTTTCAATGATAAGGAACTTCAAATTAATGCTGGGGTCAGGAATCTAAAATCCTATAGAAAGTTCTGCATAAATCTTATTTAACTCAATCAATATTACATAATATCAAAGTTTAAAAAGTTAGTTAATAGCTTTCTGAAATGTTCCCAACTGAATTTAGGGAGATAACGGGTGACAAAGGATGGGAGGTAGAGAGAGAGAGAGTCAGGAGGAGGAAGGGCCCCTTAGGGAGAACATAGCTTGTGATTCAAAATATTTCTTTTTAAATACAATTTAGGATGGAGAAAAAAATCTTTCTTATGTAAAAAATATATTTATATACATAGATATATTTGTCTGTATATGTATAATTAAGAGTTTGTATTTTAATTTTCTTAGAATAATAACCTATAAATTCAGATTAATTGAAGAAGAGAATAGAATCATTGAACATGTGAGTTAGATAATTTTTCAAAGATCTGTAATATTATCATATATGAAATTAAGACATGATAAAATAAAAGGTTTTCCTAATTCCTAATTTTTAGACAAGCTTTAATAAAGAGATAAGAATGATAAGTAATTAACACACCACTATTTTTACATAAATAGAGCTTTCTAAGTGCTTCTACAAACAGTTGTTTTCTTTATTTAGGTAAGTGTATTAATATAGTCTTGTTTATATCATTAATTCTCAGAGTAAAATCTTTATTCACACATGGAAAAACAGCAATAACCTCCGAGTTTGAATTTCTGAGTTAACTCTATATCGGAATTTAGAAATCAAAATTAATAAGAATTTATCACATTAACATTTGCTAATTACATCATGGATGCCCATCTTTCATTTAAAATATGCTTATGAGAATGTAATTGCAAAGAAATAATGATTTCTGGATCATAAAATGCCAGGCTAAGTTACCTGAAATCTTCCTGTAGCTTTTAAATACCCCCAGATAAAACATTTTTAATGTTCAGATGAACACAAAAGACAAAGGAAGAAATCCCTAATGTTTCATAAGTAAAGGTGAAATGCTGCAGATGCTCTGAGAGGGAAAGTTACCTGGATGGACAGGGTAGATGGCTGGGAATATAAATTCAAGGGCTGGTGTTTTATTGTCTGAGGGACAAGAACAGAGCCCTGGGGCCAGAGGGAGAACTATGCTTGGCACAGAAGAGCCACTCCATATATATTGATATTCCTGAAGATGTGGTGGTGGGATTGGAACTGAAGCCCAAGACCCTATGAGGTAGGAGGCAGGACTTGACTCTGGAGGTGGGGCTGGGACACTGGACCAAATTGAGGACTAGCTAGAACAGGTCCCAGATGAAGCAGCTTTCTGTAAAACACACCACCAGGGTGCCATGTCAGTTTACCATTGCCATGGCAACACCGGAAAGTTATCACCCGCTTCCATGGACACAACTCTGCTACTAGGGTCCTAGACATTTCTCATAGCCCGCCCTTTGATTTGAGTATAGGTAAAAGTGGGCATAAATATGAGTGCAGACCCACCTCTGAGCTGCTCTCTGGACAAACTGCCTGTGGGGCAGCCCTGCTCTGCCAGGAGTGGGACCTCCGCTGAGGCTGAGCACAGCCGCATCAGTCAAAGCTCCTGTTGAACACCATTGCCTCGCCTTTTAATTCTTTTTGGGGCTAAGCCAAGAACACTCAGGACTAAGCCTCAATCTGAGGGCTGGGCTGTCCTGCAGTACCTGTATTAACCCAGGACTATAGAAGGCTATACTTTCAGCAAAATGGTGACAGGGAAAAACGCATCTCCATATCAGTACAGGAGTCCAACAAGAAAGTGTGTCTGACTGCCTAGGCTCTGAGAGAAAATAAATAAAAAAATAGTAAACTGCTTTTAAGAAAATCACAGTCTTGAACTTCCCTCAAGGGGAGAATTCTAAATATGTATCGTTGTGAGGCAAGACTCCTATTAATATAAAAAATTAGCAGTGGGCAATGCACCTAACAAAACAGATGCAAAATGCAAAACCTGCCTGGGTTCTCATAACCCGCCCTTTGATTTGCATATAGGTAAATTCTAAATTCTAAATAGGTAAATTACCTAAATTCCCATGGGATTTACATGGAAAAAACACCTAACTCGGTGAAGAGGAACCCTATGAAAACAACTATAAAGTGCAAAACAGAGGGTAAAAGTCATCCTGTAACGACAATTCTAAACAGTGCTAAAGCGTTTCATGAGAGTGGCCTGGGCGTCCTCCCACCACAGCCGCTGTGCGCAGCGGAGCAGAGGGAAGGAGAACCCGGGCAGAGCTGCACACCTGCTGCGGGAGGGGCTGCGTCTCGCACTTCTTCTGTCCGGGGAGGCGCCTTGCTCTGACCTTCCTCCTCAAAACACGGGCGCGGTGGCTCACGCCTGTAATCCCAGCCCTTTGGGAGGCCGAGGTGGGTGGATCACGAGGTCAGGAGATCGAGACCATCCTGGCGAACACGGTGAAACCCCGTCTCTACTGAAAATACAAACAATTAGCCGGGCGTGGTGGCGGGAGCCTGTAGTCCCAGCTCCTCGGGAGGCTGAGGAAGGAAAATGGCCGAACCCGGGAGGCGGAGCTTGCAGTGAGCCGAGATCGCGCCACTGCAGTCCGGCCTGGGCAAAATAGCGAGACTCCGCCTCAAAAACAAAACAAAACAAAAAAACACGCAAGTGGAATTCCAGAAAAGTCACCACGTCTGCACAATGAGAAGTCCAGGGTCTCCTGCCATTGTCAACATCTGCTGGCCTCTCAGTTTCGCTGACTCGCCCCTGGTGCCGGTGTGAGCAGACAGGCTCCAGAGCTGGAGCAAGATGTCCATGGGACAGTCACGGAGTGACCTGGGCTGTTTCCACATGACCAAGCAGAGATTTCCCATGAACCAGGAGACCTGAACCACGTTGCTGGAACCAGCATGTAACGAAGGAGCCTGTAGTGAGTGAGCTTCCAACCACAGAGGGGAGGCTGGAGCTGAGAGGAACTGGGAGCCATGGCGCCCCCAGCAGACCCACCAGTTACGGAATTGTGCAGTGAGAGGCTCCTGAGTGGGCCTGCAGAACTCACCCGTGACCTCCTGAGGGCCACAAGGACGTGCCACTGATGGAGAGACTCAACAGGATTAGGTGCGGGAGAGATTCAACAGGATTAGGTGCGGTAGAGACGCGTGTCACTGTCCACTCCGCTGCTCTCCATCTCAGCACACCCAGAAGGTAAGCCAGAGAAAACAGCAGCAGAAATGAAAGAGCATGCTACCTATAAAATACATACAACTCTTTTAGGTGGTAATACAACAAAATACCTCTTAAAAATGACTGTGTATGTCAATATAAAAAGAATTCCTAAGAAAAGAACAGAACATTTGGGAAAACGATGAATTTCAAAATAACAAAACAGAGTTTCTAGAAATAAGTAGTAATCAGTGCTGAGTTTGAAAACTCATTGAATGCCAGTGTTCAGGGCAGATCGTAGAAACTAAGATTTTAAACACAAAGGAATTGAATATTGGAAATTAGATGCTTAGGAATGGGCAGGATAACTGCAGGATGAGAAGGAGAGAACACTGATCACTTCATTCATTCATCCCAAGCTCACTGCATTTGGAATTACTGAGATGTAGGCATGAAACATGATGTGTTTGCTGTACCACGGTCCCTGGTAATTAAACTACTGCTACAATCACGGTGATCTTTCTATTTTAAAAGCTGGTAACTAGACATAGGAAATTAATCCAGACAGAATATAATAATTGTACTTAGACCTCCAAACTTCCTTCCATTTGGAACAAAAGTTGGTGCCCTGCACTTCACTTCTGCTTGCTAAATCTTACATCATAATTTCACCCCGGTACAACTTAAATCTAGAAGTCTGATTGCAAAATAATACTGGTAATATGGAATTGAGCTTTCCACTACTCTGGGGAAAATTACACATTTAAAGTTATGGTCTATTGACTCAAATATGAAAAACCAAAATGGGATCATGTATCTACAGTAGAGCTTAAAGAGAACTTAATAAGAAATTTATAGTAGATTCATAATCATTAACTATGGGCTTTTTAAAAAGAATTTTTTCTTTACTTTGCTATTCTTTTCTTTTCTTTCTCATTCTTTTCTTTCCATTTTCAAAGTCAATAAAAGGACCAAGAGAAAATTTCCCATGAAAAATACATGTTTTTATTCTTTAGTTCAATTCTGCTCCTAAAATGTATAAAAGCCAATAGGATTCAGGAAGAAGAGAGGAAACACAATGAGTTCTGATTGTTTAACAAGAAGTTATTCTAGCAAAGAAGATAAGAAGAAGAAACTTCAAGTCACCAATGAGGGTAAATCTCCCAAATCACTGGAGAGCTCAGGTTTTAGAAGAATAAGTCAGAAAAGTGAACAAGGAGGTTACTCAATCAAGGGCAGTTTCAGAGAGTGGTGCAAACCTGTAAGGTGTGTCAGAAAGACTAATGAATTACATCAAATTAAAACCCAGAAAGAGCTGATGCTTGCAAAAAGCATTGATAATGACCCAAGTGTGATTTTTAAAAAGGAACTAAAGCTTTTAAAGAGACAATAAAAAGAAAAAGACAGGAAAAAGTGATTCCATTTATTGGGTTTTATATAACTTAACTGAATGGGCAAAATTGCTTAATAGAATATGAAGTTTATGTATCTTTTTCTACAACCAATATTCTTTTAGTTACCCAAACAATAAAACAATATTGTAGGTGTGACATGGATTTGAGTTCATGATGTCATGCTCTAAGCTTTATATGACCTGAATCAAGCTGGTTAACTTCTCTACCTCACCTTTATAGATAGATGATAGATAGATAGATAGATAGATAGATAGATAGATAGATAGATAGATGATAGATAGATAGCTGGTTTTTTTTCATGGTTATTCCAAGAGGTTGTTGTAAAAAAATGAAATATTGGTAAAAATAAACAACGTATGATTATCAATACTATCCTGCTCTCATCTTTATGTAGAAGAATGTTCTTTAGGTTTTTCACAGTAGACCTTACATTATTATTGTTTTTTATTAATTTTTTTTTGAGACGGAGTTTTGCTCTTGTTGCCCAGGCTGGAGTGCAGTGGTATGATCTTGGCTCACCACAACCTCTGCCTCCAGGGTTCAAGTGATTCTCCTGCTTCAGCCTCCCAAGTAGCTGGGATTACAGGCACCCGCCACCACACTTGGCTAATTTTTGCATTTTTTAGTAGAGACGGGGTTTCCCCATGATGGTCAGGCTGGTCTCAAACTCCCAACCTCAGGTGATTCGCTCGCCTCGGCCTCCCAAGATGCTGGGACCACAGGGGTGAGCCACCGCGCCCGGCCAGACCTTACGTTATTAAAGGGATACTGAATTCCAGCTTAGATGAAGAGATAGAGAAAAAGTAATAATTTAAATTAATGTAGATTTAATATATTCTTATAACACTAAAAAGATACAGATAATACTAGAGAAATAATTTTAATGATCAATTTAAAATCGTGTAAAATGGAAAACAAAAATATATATATTCTGATTTTCAAAGGGCAGAAGTAGAGTTGACCACATGAACTCTAAATGATGAGAATGATCATTTAGAACTTTAAATTAACTTTGATCAGAATATTTCTGAAACTATATTAAGAGGCATGGGGAAAAAGCAACAAATAATCATTACTGTATCGCAGGAAAATAATCACCCTATCCTAAAGTCACCTTACTTTTTAGTAGAATGTCTAGACTGAAGTACAAGAAAATTCTGTAGACATTGAGTACATAATTTGTTTTCTGTATAAAAATGTATTGTACATTTATAGGCAACTGGGGAAAAATGTGCCTATATTTAAGCGAAGTATTCTATGTTAGAACACAGTTGGCCAGAATTTCAGTGAATAAAACATTTTTAAGTGGAGTATAGGTTTCCATGGGGAGGGCTACAGTGAAGTCTTTGATCCAAGCCTGCTCTGCGTTCAGACAACCTTGATAACATTATTGTAAGATTGGTTTTTAGATCAAATATGAGAGTTATAAGAAGTATGTTAAATATTTTGAATACTGTATTATCTTAATAATTTTAAGTATGCTGATTAAAAGCATAAAAGATATCTGTATGGGGAGAAATTTGGGATTCATTTCCCATACTGAAAATAATTATCACTTAAATTGAGAGCAAAATGATAAAGATGCTTAAATAACTCAGACCTTCTCTGAGAATATTACTAAAGGAAAGGCTGTAGCAAGAAGCACTGTGTGAGGTTCAATAAGTAATGACAAGAATAAAAGTCTAGTTTATTATCACAACATGTAAGTAATTATTTATTATTTGATAAGTGATTGTTGGAAAATATATATTTATAGCAATATTGTCTCATGAAGAAAGAACATTTTTGTAAAAGACTTAGAACATTTAAAGAAGCAAAGGTAGTAGAAATTTGTTAGTTTTTGGCCATGAAACATGGATACCAGATTCCGAAAACAATCTAAGTTTAGGAAGGTTAAAAACAAAGCTGAGTACCTGGAGATACATGCCACCTTCAATGGAAGATTCAATTTTGTAAAATATCCATTTTCTTGATTTTTTAAAATCCAAAATATTTCCTCATTTACTCCCAATCAAGCCCTTATCATTAAGGGACTTGACAAGCTGCTTCTAAAATTAATATAGAGGAATAAATGTGCACAGACACCATAATATACAACAAATATAACAAATAGTTGAGATTCATCCTAACAGATATCACAGTACAGTATAAGAAAAATTTTTTTTAATTAAAGGGGGTAGTATTTGTTTGGAACAGACAAATAGATCAGCAGATCTATTTAGAACATGAAAATGTGTTTTCCCTTCTTGGTATCAGTAAGACTTTAGTAAATCTCCAGTCTGCTAAACTCTAATAAAATAATTTCCCTTCATGAAAATTTAGTATTTAGTATGCCTTAGAAATTTTTAAAAGCTGAATAAGTTGTACTTGGTAACAAGAACTGAGGTAAACAGGCCTTTAGCACAAGGTTTTGTGTTAATCTGACTAGGGGTGAGGCTGTGCTTACTTCTTGCCATAGCTGTATGTGTTAGAGGCTAAAATTCCCTATGATATCCTTGTTTATGGCTCCTCCGTTGCCTTTGGGTATCCCTAGAGACTTCTTCTTAAATAATGTCTGAGACATGCCGTTTTGTCAGTCATGTTCTCCTACTATTTTAGAGAGCCTTGCTGAAGTGGAGGTGAGGAGTTAGGAGGGAGACACATTTCACATTTAATGTTTACTCAGCTTTAACAAATTTCTAAGGCATACTAAAAGACAAACACACACACACGACCATAAGTTGAAGAGACACAGTAAACCTCAAAAGAAGACTGAGACATGATATGTTAGAATTCCTGGTCAGACCAGGAATCACAGTGCTTGTTACTTACCCAAAGGAGCTGAAGACTTATGTGTACACCAAAACATGCATTCAAATGTTTACAACAGCTTTATTAATAATTGTTCAAATTTGGAAGCAACCAAGATGCCATTCAGTAGGTGAATGGATAAACAAACTGTAGGGTTTTGTAATACTAAAAATAATATTACAGTGGAATATTATTCAGCAAAAAAGAAATAAGCTATCAAGCCATGAAAAGACATGGAAGAACCTTAAATATACCTTATATAAATAAAATATATATTAAATAAATTTATATATTAAATAAATATATAGATATATATTATATAAATTTATATATTAAATAATATATAAATATATATTATATAAATTTGTGTATTCAGTAAATATATAAATATATATTATATAAATTTGTATATTAAGTAAATATATAAATATATAATATAAATTTGTATATTAAGTAAATATATAAATATATATTATATAAATTTGTATATTAAATACATATATAAATATATATTACATACATTTGTATATTAAATACATATATAAATATATATTATATACATTTGTATATTAAATAAATACATAAATATATATTATATACATTTGTATATTAAATAAATACATAAATATATATTATATACATTTGTATATTAAACAAATACATACATATATATTATATACATTTGTGTATTAAACAAATACATAAATATATATTATATACATTTGTATATTAAACAAATACATAAATATATATTATATACATTTGTATATTAAACAAATACATAAATATATATTATATACATTTGTATATTAAACAAATACATAAATATATATTATATACATTTGTATATTAAACAAATACATAAATATATATTATATAAATTTGTATATTAAACAAATATATAAATATATATTATATACATTTGTATATTAAACAAATATATAAATATATATTATATACATTTGTATATTAAACAAATATATAAATATATATTATATACATTTGTATATTAAACAAATATATAAATATATATATACATTTGTATATTAAACAAATATATAAATATATATATATACATTTGTATATTAAACAAATATATAAATATATATTATATAAATTTGTATATTAAATAAATATATATTATAAATTTGTATATTACATAAATATATATTATATAAATTTATATATTACATAAATATATATTATATAAATTTATATATTAAATAAATATATAATATAAATTTATATATTAAATAAATATATAAATATATATACATGTACATTACTAAGTGGAAGAAGTGTATCTGAAAAGGCATACAGTCAATTTCCAACAATATGACATTCTGGAAAATGAAAAACTATAGAGGTAGTAAAAAGAATAGAGGTTGTCAGGAAAGTTGGGGAAGGGCAAAGAATGGATAAACAGAGCACAGTGGATTTTTAGGATTGTGAAACTATTCTGTACAATACTGAGAACATGTCAGTACATACTTGTCAAAACCTATAGAGTGTACAGCACATAAGTGAACGCTAATGTACAATATGGACTTTACTACAATGTGTCAACACTGGCTCATCAATGGTAACAAATGCACTGCATTGAAGATGTGATGAATAGGGGAACCTGTGTGAAGATGAGGTGGGGAGGTTAAGGAGTAGGTGGGAACTCGATATTTTCTGCTCAATTGTTTTGTAAATCTCAGACATCTCTAAAAATTAGTCTATTAGTTAAAGCAAATCCAAAAAGCAAAACAACACACAAGCCAGTGTATGATTCTTAATTTTAAAGAGGTAATTTCCATAAATTCTCTGGGAGGTCATCTTTATGTGATACCCTGTACAAGATGGGTAGAGAATACCCAACCAGAAGAAGCAATGAGAAGGAACAGGAGTCCATGTCAGTGTACGTGGGGGCACAATGGGGAATGGAGGGCACATAGGACATTGTCTGCTGTTTTTCTCAAGGAAAATGCATTGGCATATGTGTTCTTTGTGTAATAAGCATTTCAACTGACAATAGAAAAACTAAAATGAAATCCATAATTTAGACAGAAACTAAAAACACTACACATGTAGAGTCAGGGAAGACTCAGTCAAACAGCAATTTATGTGCCAGAGTTTTCTAGAAGTTTTGATACGAACAATAAATCATATTGTAAGCTCATAGCATGTAAAAAAATCAAAAGATGATGCAACCTCAGAGATGCATTCATAAAATTCCGATGTCCAAATCAAGAGGACTGCCTGATGCTAGGCATTCAATATTTCTCCAATAGTGGATGATTGGTTAGCTTGTCTGATGTGGAAACGTTTGCATCCAGCTAACCTTGATTGAACACTTCCTCCATGCCAAACACAGTTCTGAGTCTTTTGTGTGCATCTCCCTACACCAGGAGCCATATATTCTAGCAGTGGAATGCTTATGGAGGTTTATTCGTTGTCAAATAACAAGTAGAAGAGAGTCAGAGAAACTGCTGCTACCATCTGTCTCCCCGTCCAAGGGCCAATGCTTGTTTTCTTTGTTACTATTACCATTATTGTGGCTTTTAAAAAACAAATTCTAACAAGTAAATTACTCATCGGTTACTAAAACTACTGTAAATTAGTTTATTAATATTCGTAGACAAGTGGAAAATTGCAGAAGAAATGGCCAACATGCACATTTAG